>NC_000001.11:59099289-59250804 GCF_000001405.40 Homo sapiens
CTGGTACACGATGAACTCCAGAATATCGATTTACTTATTGACTGACACAGACAATGTTATTGCTAGATGTATGTAACAAATTATTCTCTTTCTCTCCCTGCCCAAGAGCAAGCATGAGCTTCAAGGGAAGGAATAAGGAAACCAGGATTAACACAGCGCTTATTCTGCAATTTACCTCATTTACTTTTCATAAAAAGTCTTCAAGAAAGATATTACAATCCCCTTTTTGATTGATGAGAAATCTGAGATTCAGAAGGATGAAGTAACTTAAGATTACATAACTTTAAATTAGAAATGTTCAGAAATTATATGAAGAAAACTAAAACACACCTAAAAGACATAAAAGTAGACGTGAACAAATAGAAAAATATCTCTGTTCTTGGTTCAGACATCTCAACATTATCAGTCAGCCAGTCTACCCTAAGTTAATTTATTAATTTATTGTAATACTAATAAAAATACAAAAAAGCTGTTTTTCCTGAAGCTAAACAAGCTGATATTAAAGTTTGTACAAAAGGCCAGATGCGGTGGCTTACGCCTGTAATCCCAGCACTTTGGGAGGCCAAGGCAGGCGGATCACGAGGTCAGGAGATCAAGACCAACCTGGCTAACATGGTGAAACCCCATCTCTACTAAAAATACAAAAAAATTAGCTGGGCGTGGTGGCGGGCACCTGTAGTCCCAGCTACTCAGGAGGCTGAGGCAGGAGAATGGTGTGAACCTGGGAGGCAGAGCTTGCAGTGAGCCGAGATCGCACCACTGCACCCCAGCCTGGGCGGCAGAGCGAGACTCCATCTCAAAAAATAAATAAATAAATAAATATTTGTATAAAATAAGAATGCAAAAAAATGGCTAGGAAAACACTGAAGGAAATTGCTAGAAGAGGGCACTAGCCCTACCAAATATTAAAACATCTATAGGTTAAAATAGTGTAACACTGCTATGTGAATAGGCATACCAATAGACTAGATTAGGAAGTCCAGAAATAAACCTAACCATATATGAAGTTCAAGAATATAATAAAAGTAATAACTCAGATCATTAGGACAAAAATGGACTTTTTTTCAAACTTTTTTTTAATGATCAGAAAAAAATTGACTTTTTAATAAGTGGTATTGGAACAATTAGACATTTGAAAAATATAAAATTAGATCTATTCCTTATACCATAGATAAAAATAAATTCCAAATGCATCAAAGATCTAAATGTAAAATAAGTGAATAATACAAGTATTAGAAGAAAACATGGACAAATTTCCTATAAGCTGACTGTTGAGAAAGGGTTGCTAACTGTGACGCAAAGTCAAGATATGATAAAAGAAGAAAATTGATAAATTTGACTACTTAAAAGATTCAAAAAACCTTTTGCATGGCAAAATACCATAAGCAAAGCCAAAAGACAAATGACAAATTTGGAAAAAGTACTTACAATGCAAATCACAGATAATTTCTAACATATAAAGAGATTTCAAATCTCAAGGGGAAAAACAAAGATTGTATGTAAAAAAACATGAATAGATGCCAGAGATATATGCATAAATGAGCCACTCCTGCTAAGAAATGCTGTGGTAGGGAGCCTCTAACAAGGTGTCAATGATCTCCACCTCTTGGTATTCACACCCTTATATAATTGCCTTCACTTGATTGTGAGCTGGACCTAGTGACTATCTTCTAATGAGTAGGATATTGCAAAAGTGATGGGATGTCACTACTCAGATTAGGTTACAAAAAGTCTGTGGCTTCTGTTTTGGGTACCTCCTGTCTTTCTCTAGCTCATTTGCCCTGAGAGAAGCCAGCTGCCATGTTGTGATCCACCCTCTGGATGTCTCCAGTTGGCAGCCAGCAAAAACTTGAGGCCTTCCAACAGCCACATGAATGTGCTTGGAAATGGATAGTCATCTTTGAGATGACTGCATCCGCAGCAGACACTTTGATCTGCTGTTTTGAGAGGCCCTGAGCTAGAAATACCAGCTAAACTATGCCTGGATTCCTGACTCACAAAGACTATGAGATAGCAATCTTTTAATGTTTTAAGCCACTACATTTTGAGACAATTTGTTATGTAATGATAGATAACTAATACAAATGCAAATTAAAACTACAGTGAGATACCATTTCTCACACATCAGATTGGCAAAAATTCAGAAGCAAAATTCAGTAATCCTACTTCTAGAGTTTTACCCTAAAGATACACAACCAATAATACAAAAATACATATGCACAAGGTCATTCACTGAGGCATTATTTGTAATTGCAAAAACTACCTAAATGCTCAAATGTGGGAGATCAAGCATACCTACAGCGGCATACTATTGTTTCAGTTATCCATTGCTTGGTAACAAACCACCTCAAAACTTACTGGTTTTAAACTACAACTTATTATGCTTCATGATTCTGTAAGTTGACTGGGCTCAGCTGGGTGGTTCTCTTGGCCATATGAAATAGGTTGAGGTCACTCAGCTGGTGCCGGAACACACAAGATGGTCTCTTGTTCTCCAGGACCACTCTGCATGTGACCTCTTATCACCCAGTGGCCTATCCTGAGCTTCTTTACAATATGGTAGGTGCCTTCCAAGAGTGAGAAAACAAAATCCAATGGTCCTTTTAAGGTCTGAGCATAGAAGTCCCAGAACATCACATATACCACACGCTATTGCTCAAACAGTTCACAAGGCCATCCAAGTTCAAGGGAGAGGAAATAGACTCTACCTCTCCCTAGGAGGAGCAGCAGATAATTTGTAGCTCAGAGGAGCAGCAAATAATCTACCACAAATACGCAAGTGTAAAAAAAAATAAGGAACATTTCCATGAGTGCACCTGGAGTGATTGCCAGAAAAAAAGCAAAGCACAAAAGTATACATATAGGATGCTACCTTTTGTGAGAAAAAAAGAAGAAATAAGAAAACTCATATGTATCTATCTCCTTACTCTTGCAAAAAGAAACACAGGAATGATAAATCAGGAAACAATAAAATTGGTTACCTGCAAAGCTTGAGAGAATGAAGGGAGAACACTTCTCTGAGTACACCTTTTTGTATAGCTTGACTTTGGAAGAATGTTAATATTCTACAGATTCAAAAAACAAAGTTAAATCAACAAGGAAAAACATAAAACTGAATACAAACAGAAACAAATATACCAAATAATTACTTCAGATACTGGAGAAAAACAAAGGCTACTGTAAAAGACACTATTGGTACAATTTTAAAAACTGGAATATGACCTATATATAAAAGTGTTCTATTAATTTTAAATTTCCTGAAACTTCACTGGGGTTATATAAGAGAATACCTTTGTTCTTAGGTAGTATATACAGAAGTATTAAAAGGTATGCTATATGGAGCATGATATAGGCAACCTACTCTTAAATGGTTCAAAAAATACATTATATATTATTATATAATTCAGTCATGCACTGTAAATGATATTTCAATCAACGGTTAGCCACATACATGATGGTGTTCCTATAAGATTATAATACTGTTTTTGTTGTTGTTGTTGTTGTTTGAGACAGAGTCTCGCTCTGTCACCCAGGCTGGAGTGCAAGGTTGCCATCTCAGCTCACTGCAACCTCCGCCTCCCAGGTTCAAGTGATTCTCCCTGCCTCAGCTTCCCAAGTAGCTGGGATTACAGGTGCATGCCACCATGCCCAGCTAATTTTTGTATTTTTAGTAGAGACGTGGTTTCACCCTGTTGGCCAGGCTGGTCTCAAACTCCTGACCTCAGGTGATCCACCTGCCTCGGCCTCCCAAAGTGCTGAGATTACAGGCATGAGCCACCTCGCCCAGCCTATAATACAGTATTTTTGCTGTATCTTTTCTATGTTTAGATACACAAATATTCACCATTGTGTGAAAATTGCCATGTGTACAACAGTACAGTGACATGTTGTACAGGTTTGTAGCCTAGCACCAGTGTGCTATACCATAAGCCTAGGTTCACAGTAGGCTATACCACATAGGTTTGTGTAAGTACACTCTATGATGTTCAAACAACAACAAAATTGCCTAATGCCACATTTCTCAGAACATACCTCCTTCGTTAAGTGACACATGACTCTATTACAGAGTGTCCCACAAATCTTAGTGCAGATTTAACTTTTAAAGTTTTCAAAATATAAATGCTACAACTTACAAACAGTATCATTTTGAAATTTACTTGTTTCTTTTAATTCAGTTTTGTGACTTCTGAATAACCTTTTTATTTTAATATTTTTGTTTCAGTGAATTTTTGCCACCTTCAATGAGAAAGACTGAAACAAAAAACTCAGAAGAAAGAAAGAGACTGAGATAGCAAATATGACAAACTGTTAAAAATTCATGAATCTGTTATGGAATACTATGCAGCCATAAAAAAGGATGAGTTCCTGTCCTTTGCAAGGACGTGTATGAAGCTGGAAACCATCATTCTGAGCAAACTAAAACAGGAACAGAAAACCAAACACCACATGTTCTCACTCATAAGTGGGAGTTGAACAATGAGAACACATGGACACGGCGGGGTGGTGGGAACATCACACACCGGGGCCTGTCAGAGGGGAGGGGGCTAGGGGAGAGATAGCATTAGGAGAAATACCTAATGTAGATGATGGGTTGATGGGTGCAGCAAACCACCATGGCATGTGTATACCTATGTAACAAACCTGCATGTTCTGCACATGTATCCCAGAACTTAAAGTATAATAATAAAAAGAGAGATTAAAAAAATTGGTGAATCTGGGCAAAATGTACACAGGATTTTTCTGTACTGTTCTTGCAACTTTTCTACAGATTTGAAATGTTACAAAATAAAAGGTATTTTTAGAAAAAGAGTATACAGTTGGAAGTGACTGAGGCATGTGTGTTTTTGTACCTAGGGTTGTCTGATACCAAAGCTCAAGTTCATTCTACTTCGTGGCACTGCCTTTCATTTTGAGCAGGAGAATCGGGTTTGCACAGACTCGTGCTTTCTCTAATCATTAAGACAAAGGATCATAGGCACAGTGGCCAGGATTGGGGAGTCAGTTTGCAGCCTTGGAGAAAATGAAGGAAAAAGGCCCCCTCCCACCATCCTTTGTCTTTCAGGGACTCACTCTTCAATCCACTGAGCTAACCAACTCCAGACCTTTCCCTAAAGAGAACCATGTAATAGGCATGTAAAGCGATGAAGGGATTGTTTTGGAAACTTGTGTAAATAGCTCTTTGGGCAGGAGAAAGATTGCCAACACCTGCTATTTGTTTTCTGGTATTTATTAGAGCCACCCTGTGAAGGACCTCTAAGCTTCCTGGATCTTATTCATTTATCTGAGTTCACTCTTGGTTCAGGGTCAACATTTTTCAGGGCCTGCAAAAAGCTGGCAAGGATCAGAGGAGGGTCACTGACTCCGGGCTTTGTAGGTGAATATGTAGGTGAATATGGTTCAAAGAATGCCAAGTGGATAACAGTGATCTTGAAGCCAAATTTGGTTGCTCATGATGCTTTTCCTAACCCATCACTTTCTATTCCCTTCTCCTTATAGTTATTTACTAATTCATCCATCCATCTATCCATCTATTTACCCACTAGAGTAATAATTATAATTAGGCGGCCAGGCACAGTGGCTCATGCCTGTAATTCCAGCACTTTGGGAAGCCAAGGCAGGCGGATCACCTGAGTTCAGGAGTTCAAGAGCAGCTTGGCCAACATGGTGAAACCTCATCTCTACTAAAAAATGCAAAAATTAGCCAGGCGTGGTGGTGCACACCTGTAGTCCTAGCTACTCAAGAGACTGAGGCGGGAGACTCGCTTGAACCCGGGAGGTGGAGATTACAGTGAGCTGAGATCACACCACTGCACTCCAGCCTGGGCAACAAAGCAAGACCCTGTCTCAATAAATAAATAAATAATAATTAGGCCCACATCACAAAAGGCATTGTGCTAGATGCTGGGAATACAGTGATGAATAAGACTGCTCCATGCCCTAGGAAGAGAGAGGGACAGACAATTTTGTACAGCAAGGTAAGTGCTGTCATAGTCATAGGTACAGGGTACCATAGAAGAGGGGTACCCAGCCCAGCCTGGTGAGGTAAATCCAGGGACATCTTCAGAGCTGGGTCAGAAAAATGGTGGGACTGGTGGGTTAGAAAGAGAAATACCATGAGCAAAAGCATGGTAACCTAAACCGTTGCCTTTCCAAAGTGTGGTCCGTTGATCAGCAGAATTAGCATTACCAAAACTTATCTAGAACTGTTAGAAATGCAGAATCTTGCCCCCCTCAGACCTCCTGAATCTTATCCTGAATGTTAGTAAGATCTCCCAAGGAATTCCTAAGCACATTAATGTTTGAGAGGCATTGGTCTAAACACCATTTCTTGGGGAAATTACCAGTGGCTTATAGGCATCTTGTTCTCAGTCCAGGGCTCTCTTCCCCCAGCCACTGTTATCTCCTACTGCTGACTTGAAGATTCAGCTCTGGGCTCTCCCTCCACTCCCTAACTTGCTTCAGACACCAACATCCCAGCCACCTTCAGATTTCTGAGCAGTGAGTTCTTCCCCCTGGGAGAATTGCTAAGTCTAGTTTTCTTTTAGTTATAACACTGTCTGTACTTTTTGACCCAGTAATTCCATTCTGAGGACATTAGCCCAAAGGGAAAAAAAAATCCAAAAGAAAATAGTTATTTGTAGTCAGATGTTAAATGTTTACCACTGCGTCATCCTCAAGCACAAACAATCAAAGGAGAAACCTCCCAAATGCCAAGCAAGCAATGGTGTAGGAGTAGGGTGGGGAGCTGGTTGTTTCCTAAGCACTCTCAGGAATAGCCAGGGCTCAGGTCATGATGTCGTGGGAAGTGTCCTGGCTGGGAAGACAGAAAACCTGGGTCAAGTTCTAGTTTTGCTACTCCAGAACGGATCCCCTGGGGTAAGCCCATTCCTGTCTGAGGGTTTCAGGTTCGTCTGTGATCTCTAAACTTTAACATTCAGTCTGTGCACATTGGTGGCCCCAGATCCTCCCAATATATGCCTGCCCTTCCATGCAGAAGGGCAAGGGTCAGAGCACAGACCCTGGGAGAGGTGGCCTAGAGACAGAAATTCAAGCGAAACTGGCAATAACTGCAGGGAGAGAGCAGAAAAAGAACACGTACTGAACCCTGTGCAGACTCTGCGATACTAATAAAAGCTAATGTTCACTCAAAGCTTACTGTTTGCCAGATGCTGTTTTAAGTGCTTTTGTATGAATGAACTCACTTAATCTTCAGATCAACACTATAAAGTAACAATTATTATTCTCCCATTTTCCAAATAAGGTTCAGAAAGGTTCAGGAACTTGCCCAAAGACACTCTGCTAGAAGGGGCAGGGCCCAGGGTTGAACTCTCATGGTCAGACCCCAGAGCTCACATACTGGACCTCTAACCTCGTGCTCCTCCTCACCATGATTGCTGGACCAGCATCATCAGCATCCTTTGGAGACGTGCTAGGAAGACCATGCTCTCCAACCCACCCAATCAGAAAGTGGGGGTGTAGTACAGTGGGGCCCTCTGGTTTTTTATATTTATTTTATTTTATTATTATTATTATTATTATTATTATTATTATTATTATTATTACTATTATTTGAGACAGGGTCTTGCTCTGCTGCCCTGGCTGGAGTGCAGTGGTGTGATCATGGCTCACTGCAGCCTCTACTTCCTGGGGTCAAGCGATCCTCCGACCTCAGCCTCTCAAGTAGCTGGGACTATAGGTGCAGGTGCACACCACAAAACCCAGCTTTTTTTTTTTTTTTTTTTTTTTGAGAAACTGGGTCTCACTACGTTTCCCAGGCTGGTAGCAAACTCCTGGGCTCAAGCAATCCTCCTGCCCCAGCCTCCCAAAGGCTTGGATTACAGGCATGAGCCATTGCATCTGGCCTAGCTCTATTTTAACAAGCTTCCCCCACTCCTCAAGTGATTATCATGTATGATAAATTTTGAGAACCTTGCTCTAGATACTAACTGCTTTCAGTAACTCATAAAATTTTTTATAATTAAGGATAATTAACACCACTATTTCACTGAGGCAACTGAGCCTCAAAAGGGTCTCATGCTCATGGGTCAAACAGCTAGAAAATAGTACAGCCAGGATTTCAACCTGAGCCCCCTATGTCGAAACACCGGCTTTTTTCACTATACCATGCCCATGTTCAGTACCTCTCCAGAAATCAGTTTATCCAGAAGTAGAAGAGAGGGAGAAAAGAGAGTGGGAAGGCACTGGCCCTGATACCAGAGGAGGGTGAAAAAAGAGGATACATATGGAAAAATTGGCCAAACCTCATCTCTTTGGTCATCATGCCCCTAAAGTGGTGGTGGCAGCTTGGTTCTGCCTTGTTGGGCAACCTCATGTGTGCTGGGCTGCTGATTTTCCTGGGCCTCAAGCATCGGACCTATTCTTAGCTCAGCCCCGATGGGACATGTTTGCCGGGTATTGCCAAATCACAAGAACAATCACACCCTAGTAGCAGGCAGGCTATGCTTGGCTCACAGACCATGCAGGGCTGTCTGGGCATGTACCCAGCCTCCGCCCAGATGCTGGTCCCACCTGGACCAGCCCTAGGTGGGAAGAAAGAGATTCCAGGGGAATCCGGGCCATTGCAAATCCTTTCTCTAGTCACAAGATGCTGTTGCTGAACAGGATCTCAAAAATCCAAGAGGCCCACAGGGGCACTGTAACTTATCGCTGGTCACCCAGCCAGTGGGTGGTAAGGTGGAATTCAGAATCCCAGTCCTCCTGACTTCTTTTCCCTATGCCGTACAATCTGAGTTCTCCAATATGTTTGTTTATTTGTGTTCTGTCTGCTTCTGCTAACCAGAAAAAAAAAAAAAATTAGCCAAGGAATGCCAATACCCATTGTAACAGATGGAACCTCCCAGGAGGCGGTTTGCAAATGGAGACAGCAAACTGGCGACCCCAGGAGGTGATTTTTTATGAACAGCATTAGGGATCCAGTGGCACTGGTAAAAGGAACAAAAAGTATGCCTCACAATTGTAGGCAGCACTTTTATGCTAATGTCCCCCCCCCAAGTGTTAAACGTTTGCTTTCCTTTATTAGCTAATATCACAAGTTACTCAAGAGAGAAGAGGGGCCAGATGTTTCATTATTATTAATTATAAAGATATAAGTAATGATAATAACTGCTGTCTTTGGTGTCAGGCTTTGTGTTTTACATTCATCAGCTCATTTAAGCCTTACAATAATGTCGTGAGGTGAGTAATATTAATATTAGCTTCATTTTACAAATGGAGAAATGAAGGCTCAGAGAGGGTAAGTCACTTGCTCAAGGTCATACAGCTGGTAAGTGTCAGAGCCAGGCCCAAGAGCTCCAAAGTATGTGAGCTTAAACTTATGGAACACCCCTTTTAGAAAAGAGGAGACTGGTTGGGAAAGCAGAAGACAGATGGACAAACAGATGTGACAGCTGCCTTCACATAGCAAATGCTTTATTTTGTAGAATAAAGAATAAGCAAGACCTGTTTCCTGAAAACACCAGAGCAGCTACATAGAAGTTACAGGGTTGCACATGTCATTCAGTGTAAGAAATGACCACTGTTGACTCACAGAGAAAGTTGTTCAGATGGTAGCCCCCATCTCTGGAAATGCACATCATAATTGCACTAGGTGATTATCTAGTCCAGACCTCTCTTCTACTCCATTGTAAATGAAGTAGAGAGAGGTCTGGACTAGACAATCCCTAAAATCCCTTCCAGCTGGGGGATTCTACAGTTTGTGAGCATTTAAGCATCTTGAGGGTAGATATGGCATTCAATATCTCTCCATGCTCCCCAGAGCATAATGGCACAGGCCTACACAGGCAGTGGTAAGAAAATGTCTGCTGGTGTTGCCAGTAATGTAATCACTTTCCTCTGCCTGGTCCTCAAAATGGGAGATCAAGGAGATCTCTCTTTGCCACATTAGCAGGTCTCAATTCCAGCAAGTGGCAATAAAGCCCTCATTTCTCAGTCTCCCTGAGCCCTAGGCCTGGCAATTTGAAACACAGAGGAGGACAAAGGACTAAGAAACACAAAGGACCAATATCTGGCTAATGGGACATAAACAGAACTGCAGTGTACAAATTCCGGGAAGTGTCCTTAAAGGGGAGAGGGTACCCTTCCCCAGCCCTCCTCTGCCATGCTGCTGTCTGAAAAACAGATATGACTAAAGCTTGAACAGCCATCTTCAGTGATGAGATGGAAACCATGAGTTGAGAAGGGCAGAGCAATAAGATAGAAAGAGGCTGGATTTGACAATCAGGGAGCTGCCATACTAGGCCTGTGCTGCCTACAGGATGAGACAGAGAAGGAAGCTTACCATTATTTTAGGTGTTCTGTTACTCCCAGTGGAATCCAATTCTAATTCTTACAGAGTTGAAAAACATTCTGAACAATCAAATGAGCGAATAATTGTGAAAGTAAATCTGAGTAAGCTATTGAGATGTACATAATTATAGAAGAAGGGGAGAAAGGGAAAGGGAAGGAGAAAGCAAAGAGAAGGAGGAGAAGGGTAGAAGAAGAGGAGGAGGAGAAAGACTAGGAAGAAGAAAAGGAAGAGGAAAAGAAGGGAGGCGGGAAGGAGGAGGAGATGATGATAATGACAGGCATATGTCTTGCTTACAACCAGACTACAATATTCCTGGAGTCCGAGGTAGAAAGAATGCTCCATTCTCACTGCCACATTACATCCTCATTACATCTCACCTGAAATGTTGGGTCGGCTATTTGGTGTCTGTCTATAGTCTTCTTCCCTCTCCTTGATCCATTCTGCCAGCTATTGCCCAAGTCTTCAATATCACTCCCTTGCTCAAAATGGGTCCAGGCCGACTTTGTGTTTCAGATGAGAAAAGGAGCCCTTATTCTGACGTTTGCCAAAAATCTATCATTTCTGCCTTATACCTACTTCACACCCCTTGTCCTCTCACAAACGGTCTGTTTCAGGAAGAGTAAATTATTCACTGCTCCCCAAATGTACCTGCTAAATTCCTGCCTCTGTCCCTTTGCTCCCACTGGTCCCTCCACCTGGGATGTCCTTTGTCCTCTGAGTGCTGACAGCTCAACTGTCCTTCACAACTCTGGTCAAATGCCCCCTTTTCTATCAATAACTCACAACTCTCTTTGCCCCAGCTGGAGTCAATCTCCAAAGCCCATACATGTTTTAGTATGCATGACTGCCTCTTTGGACCCCCACACTAAAGCCTGTCTGTAGCAGGAGGACACAACATCAGCAGAAGGAGGAAGTGGGGGAGGAGAGAGTGTCTTTCTCTGGGGCTAATGATTATGACTGGCCACCGCTCCAACTCCATCTGGGATTCCTCATTGCCTCTTAGAGAAACAGTCATCATCTAGCCTTATCTTTCTCTTTATTACTGCAAAGATATCCCAGGTCAGGTAAACTAAATTACATATCCTAAGATTTTTCCCATTCGACACTGTGTATTGCTGTGGCCTCCATATGTAATCTTCTCTTCCACCCTAAAGACTGTCCCCATTTCTCAAGGATCTACTCCAGTTTACCTTCTCTGTGGAGCTCTGAGCTATCTCAGTCCTCTATGAGCTGTTTTCTCCGTAAGATATTATCTCACTTTTTTGAATTACCTCTTACCTTATAGAGGATTTATTATGTTCTTATATTCTTTCCTCCAGAGTATATATCCGAGTTTTTATATTTGCTAGACTGTAAAGAACATGGAGCTTTGAAATTAGACAGACTCATCATTGGACAAGATATTAACTTTGCTCAGGCTCAGTTTTCCCATCTGTAGAATAGGGATTTTAACACCTGCCTCGCAGAGTAGTCATGAAGATTAAATAAGAGAGTCTGGTACTCAAAGCAAGGTTAGCAGCACCTGCTCATGAGAATGCGGCAGAAGCACAGAGCCTGACGTGAAGGAGGTCTTCACCGGGGATGGGGAATTACTGAGCTGTTGATTTGGAGGCTCCTGCTGGAGTCTCTGAAGTTTGCTGGGTGTCACTGTTTGCAGCTGTACAAGTTAAGTGAGTGTCACTGTGATCTTGAAAACACTTGAACAAGATGGGCTTGGCTGTAGTGGAAGAGAAACCCTGTAACTTTCAGAGATAACCTCAGGAAAGAAGCTTCTCCTATGCTCAGTGAAGGCCCTGGGACAGACTCATGTTCTGGAATATCCCAGGCTTCCTTGTCACCAGGAAGCTGAGGAGAGCCACATGGAAGTCTTCCTTAATGTGGGGAGACTGGTCTAATAAGAGACAATTGAATGGGAGGCCTCAGGCGAAGTGAGTTGACTGTTGCCCAGTACTCTGTGCTGGTCAGTCTCCACTCAAGGGGTCGGGTTCTCTCAGTGCCACATGCTGGAAGAGGGGCATGGATCCATGCAAGGCTTCAGAAGAGGAAGGCAGCCTGGGGAGAGGATTAAGACGCCATCCTTTGGAAAAATGTATTGAACAAGGCATTAAGTCTAAAAAGAGGAAGTTTAGTGAGCATGGGTTCTATTGACCATATTTGATGTCCACAAGGACAGTCATGTGGACATAAACATGTGAAGTGGGCCCAATGCAGGAGACAGCCAAAAGTGATGAAAACAGACTCAGAGGCTTCTCAGCACACCTGACTCTTACACGTAAGGATAGGGGTCTGGTGTTGCAAGATCCTCCAACTTTTCTAGAGAATATTTACCTCTGGGTTAGTTTGTTTGTTTTTCATGAAACCTCACAATTTTCATTTGAGTAATTGATTCAAAAGCTTTCGTAGCTCTGCACCAGCCAACACTGTGCAGACCAAACAAATCATATCTGTAGGAAATGAGTGGATACCTGGGCTAACAGTTCGCAATTTTTGGATGAGATGCCCTCTAGGGTTGTTTCTAAATTGTACTCTCTAGTTATAAAATAACCCCACAAATTTAAAATTGATTGACTCAAATGGCAGGTGTTGGCATCATGTGCCTTAGGAAAAGATGCTCTGTGGTATTTCTAGTGCCTACCATTACTGTTGCCATCAGCCAAGGCAGAGAGATTGAGAGCACATGTTCTGGAATCAGACAGACTCGGGTTCAGATCCCAGCTCTGTCACTTTCTAGTTCTGTGATCTTGGACAAGTGATTTAGCTTCTGAGCTCAGATTCCTCAGCTGCAGTTGAAATAGTAGCTGAATTTATTGTTTAAAATGTGCCACACACTGATGTAAGTAATTCCTAAATTTTAATCCTATAAACAACCCTCTAAAAGTGGGCAAAATCATCATTATGTTCATTTCACAGATGAAAAAACAGGCACAGAAAAATTCAGGGATCACGGCTAATAAATAGAGAGCTGACATGCAAGTCCAGACACTCTACCCCCAGGTTTGTGCTTTCAACTGCTTTACTCTACTGGCTGGAATCAAAAATAAGGGTGGTAGTGGGAGTGTTCCCTGGGGTTCTCATGAGAATAGAAATGATGATATATGTAAAAGAACTAGCTCAATGCCTGAACATACTAACAATACATTTAAAAGATGCCTACTATTATGTTATTAACCATTTCCTATGTTCATCCGTAATCCCTCCTCCTTTAATCTATCTTTGACCCAGTTTCTCTGTCTCTCCCTTTCTCTTCTCTATTCTAATTATTACAGTAAGGATCATTTTAACACCCAGCTCTGAACAAATGCCCTCTTTATTTATGACCAAGCTATGGCTTATTCCTGTTCACCTTTCTGCTTCCTTCAATCACTCCCTAGCCCCTCCCCAGCCTTTTTTGTTTAATCCCAAGGATTATTTATCAGGTAAATCTATCATTAGGTAATGTTTTAATAATATGTTTCCCATCAGATAAATGGATATTACGTATTCCCTATAACCAGCCATGCTCCATGGTAAATATTACTCTAAAAAGGAAATTCATGACTCATAATCAACTGAACACCCAACTGGGAAGCTGGGGAGCTCCCATCTATGAAAATTATTATTGTTTGATAGATTTTTAGCCCACCTGCTCCCTGAGGGTCCTCTGAGTCATGCTGTACACATGAGTAGCATGCAAACTGGCAGGGGCTGGTTAGTTAGGGATGAAGTCAGGGTTATTTAATAACCTGTATTTATAGTATCTACTTACAAGGGAAAAAATCTCCTCTGTTTTATGCAGGTACCTCTAATCAGGAATTTGCTGGCAACACACACACACACACACACACACACACACACACACACACACACACACAGACACTCACACTGGAACCCACACTTCACCTGCCCCAGCAGGCCAAGGGTGGTGTTTCTCAGTTACCTTCCTCCATCCCACTAGGGAGCTATGGGAAAGATGCTCAGGTTTGGCAATGGTTTATGCCTAGTATGAATCCCCCTCCCATCACTTACTTGCTGTGTGACTCCAGACAAGTAACAAACCCTCTAAGCCTCAATTTCCCTGCCCCCAGAGCTATCATGTGGATTAGATCAAATAAAACACTTGGTACATAGTAAAGTGCTCAAATTTTGGTCCTGCTTAGGGGGACATAGAAGAATGTGAGCCTTGGGGAAATTCTGCTCCAGGACAAGAGCAGCCATATTTTTGAGATCATGTCTGGAGAGAGATAAGGGTCCAAACATTCTAGAACCATGGTTGTCTGTCTACTTTGTATTTATAGGACTGGAAACAACCTCTCCTCCATCATCAAGGCTGAAATTCAAGTTACCTCTCCTTGAGCACTTACTGCATACCAAGGACTGGGATTGATAGGTGTAGGGTCATTTAGAGATGAATATCATAGTTTCCTTGCTACCACAGAGCTCAGAGGCTAATCAGTGATTCCCTAAGTTATGTGTGGTGTCTGGATCACCCGTCTCAGAGTCACCCTGATTCCTGGGCCCCTACCCCAGACTTCTTGAATTACAGTCTCTGGAGGTGGAGCCTCAGGGTCTGCATTCTCACAAGTTCCCCCAATTAATTTTATGTACACTAAGGTTTGAGAACAGCTTGCCAGCAGCTGGCAGCATCTAAGATTTATTATGCATTGACTATTCATTCCTTCATTCAACAAATATTTGTTGAAGGTATTTCTGTGTTAGGCACTGTGCTAAGTGCTTTATGTGCATTGATTCATTTAATTCTCTCAACATATCTATACAGCAGGTGCCATTGACTCTATTTTTCTAGCCCAAGAGCTAAGAAAAGTACATACTTAACCTGACTATGTTAAGTATCATAACAGAGATACATAAAATGTGCTCTGGAAATTCCAAGAAGATAGAAATTGCACTTAATTAAGAAAGGTAGTGCAAGCGAGGAAGATTCTAAAACAGGACAGATCAAATGTCATTCCAGCTGAGTGGCATGGTTTTAGATTCCTTCAGGGTAGGTAAGTCGCTACCTCACAAAAAAAGCCAATTTACTCACAGACACAATGGTTACAGGTGCCTGTGAACCATTCCACAGAGATATTTCTATGTTCACAAAGCCTTTCAGTATCAGGTAAGTTTCTCAGACACATTTGAGAGTTGAATAAATGTATTCATATGCACTGTGAGGGAAGTATTTAATTCTTCCTTTTGATTATGAGGGGAAGTGAGGTGTTTTTAAAACAAGATGTCATTCTTCAACTATTTTGAATAAGAGAAATTAATTTTCTTTAAATAAAACGAAGTTAGTAAGTACCATATTTGTTGTTACAGAGCTATAAATGTGATATCAGGTAGACAAGGATTAAAAAGAGAGAAAGAATGTTGGAAAGGGTGCAGTGAAATGGACATTCTCAAAACTGCCGAAGTTGATGAAAGGGTAAATTGTTACACCATTGCTAGGGGTTATTTAGCAATATGAATCAAGAACTCAAATGAATATTCATATCCTTGACCTTTATAATTCCCATTCTGGGAAACTCTCCTAAAGAAATAAGCAGAGACTAGGATACATTGAGATTTACAAATCAGAATGCTCTCCCTCACACTGTTAATTTTTTTTATTTTTAAAGTCATTAAATCAGAAGCAGTTTAAACATCCTACAACAGAGATTTGTTAGGTAAATTATTGTAAATTCACATGATAGATGTGAGACAAAATGTAAGCTCCATCGGAGCAGAAATCTTTGTCTCTTTTGGTTACTGCTTTATCTCCAGAGCCTATCACAGTGCCTGGCACAGAGTAGACACTCAGCAAATATCTCTTGAGTGAGTATAACATCATAGTTAGGCAGGAGTACTTTGAAGTTGGACCTTCTGTCTCTCAATCTACAGTTGTGGCAACTTTTCCTCAGTAGCCTCATTTGCAAAATGAAGGTGAACATACAACCTTTTTCATAGGATTGTGTGGAGGACTGAAGGGCATGATAAATACATAAGGTGGCATGAACATAGAGACATTAAATAAATGTTAGTTGCCGTTATTATCCATGGAGTCGTAACATTCTCATGGCTAGTAAAAACTTGTATGTCAACTGTACTCAGGGAGATTCAAAATTTGCAATAGAAAAGTACAAATATATTTATATTTAAAAGACTAAGTGGATGCCTATTAAGCATGGTTATCTGTGGGCCATGAGGATCACCATAATTTTCATGAGCAGATAGACAGTGTGCCTCTGAAAGGTCTCTGGCTAATGCCTAAGGTTAATACATCTATACCTTAGTCTCTACATTCATAATCTCAGGAGGAATCAAAGCAATTCAACAAAACCTGGAGAAAAAAAAGAATTGTGCTGTAAGCAATTATTGGAATGGAAAACAGAAGGGCTTTAAAAACTGTATTTACATCAAGCCACATGTTTAGTGTTGATTCTTGATCTTTGTCTGCTCGCTGATAAGAGGCCCATAAAATGAAATTTCATCCTTGGCATGCTTCTAGCATTTGTAGATAACATCTGTGAATCTCAAGGAAAGTCTTATCATTTGCTATTTCAAGGTTTTTCCTTAAGCAATTCTATGGCTCTAGACAGAGCACGCACCCAGACCACCTTTCCAGAACTTTGTCTAACAAATTTGATTAGATCTTGTCAATCTAAAGATTCCAAAGGATAATTTGCATTTTTAGGACTTGCCACAAAACTTTCTGGTGGCATGAGCAACTTATAGTAACCAGTAGTTCAGAGCAGTGGTATTTTCTGTGGTGACTTAGGGCTTTAAGGAGTTACAGACAGACATCACAATATGAGGTTATTTTTCCCAGGCCACCAGCTTTAAATGCAATCTGGGAACCCCAAGGAAGGCTTACGACAAAACTGTAGTTTTGTAGTTCTGCCCGTACTGCAGCATTGTGGGGCTGGTGGTCCAAACTTTCCTTGTGCTCCAAGTGTGGGCTGTGGGGATAGATTGGGAGATAGACCAGTCCTGCACAAAGAATTCAAATGTCAATTACTGAAATCAAGGGTGAGAGACCTCTGGCTTAAAGGACATTTATTAGAATATACCTAGGTAATTTAGTAACCACAAAACAAGCAGCATTTTTTTTTTCTGTCTTCAGCTGTCTAAGAATTCGAAGTAGGGAGAGTTTGGTGAGGGGACGTGCTAGTTGAAATACAGATTACCAGGTCCCAAACCAAGACATTCTTCTTCACTGGATTTGGTGTGGGCACAGTTGTTTGCATTTTTAGTAAGGGTGCCATGTGAAACACACAAATCTAGGAAAACTTTCTGTAAGAAAGTAAATGTTCTGCTAAAAAAGTCACTCCAGTTGGCTTTTGGGGCTATGTAATTATAGGTGCTGGGGCTCCTCTTGATGGGAAAGGGCAAGAAAGGATGAGATTTACATTTTTCTCTTTTACAACATAATAGGACTAGAGAGTTTTCCCACCGTCAGCCCCTGTCAGAGTCTTATGTCTTTGAATTGGGGAGAGAAAGGAAC
Organism: Homo sapiens; assembly: GCF_000001405.40. NCBI lineage: Eukaryota > Metazoa > Chordata > Mammalia > Primates > Hominidae > Homo > Homo sapiens. The sequence goes on from NC_000001.11 coordinate 59,117,058, forward strand.
AAGAGCCCAGCCCAATGGAAGGAGGCTGCAGCCAAGAGCGAAGGGGGCAGTGAGTCACTGCCTTCAAGGGGCGGAGGATGAATACCACTGACATGCTGTCTGACATTTAGTCTTAATTGTTTCCTTTCCTGTGATGTGACTTTCCTCTTTTATCACCAAAACTTTGGTAAAATGCTCTGTACAGAGCAGTGTCGTGTTGGTGGTGCATTGGGAGATAAAACAGAGAGGAGCATGCAGGGATTTTCTGGTGAAATATGCTAGAGAGAACTGGGACAGCCATGAGAAGCAGGGATGAGGGAGTGAGAAATGGGTGAGAACTGAGGTGGATGAGTTCATAGGGTGAGCTCCAGAAACTTGAGTGCACCTCTCTTGGGAACTCTTGGGAAGCCTTCTGGAAACTTTGGGTTTGTGGAATATCATTTATATACAAAAATGTGTTCCCATTTTAAGTGTATGGTTGAATCATTTTTGACAAATGTATATACCTATGTAATCACCACCACAATCAAGAAAGATATCCACCATTGTCACCTAAAAATTATCTTTCTATCTAGCCAGTTGATCAACCCTAGCCACAGACAACTGCCAAACAACTTTTTATCACTGTAGATTAGATTTGTCTTTTCTAGAGTTTCATATCAATAAAATTATACAGTATATACACCTTTGTATCTAATAGTACTTTAGGTTCCTCCATGTGGTTGCATTTTTCAGTAGATTGGTTGGTTGAATTATTTGATGAGGAGTAATGTGTTTACCCATTCACCTGTTGATGGTCATTTGGTTGTTTCCAGTTTGGGAACTGTATCAATAAAGCTGTTATGAACATTTGTATACAAATCTTTGTGTGGACATATGTTTTTATTTCTCTTATGTAAATAACTTTAAGTGGAATTGCTGGGATGTAAGATAACCACATGTTTCACTTAACAATTTCCCAGAGTGGTTATACTGTTTTAGTTACCACCAGTACATATGAGAATTTTAGTTGCTTTACACCCTGGTCAAAACTTGGTAGTATCAGTCTTTCTAAATTTAGCCATTTTAATGGATGTGTCCTGATGTTTTGCTGTGATTTTAATTTTCATTCCTCTGATAACTAATAATATTAGGCACCTTCTCATGTGTTTATTGGCCAATCATATATCTTCATTTGGAAAGTGCCTGTTCTAAGTTTGGGCCCACTTAAATTTTTTTTTCAGTCTTTTGATGAGTTGTAAGAGTTCTTTATAAACTTTGAATACTTGTCCTTTGTCAGATTTGTCTATGACAAATATTTTTCCCAGACTATGAAATGCCTTATTATTCTTTTGATTCTGTCTTCGGAAGAGCAGTTTAAAATTTTAAGTCCAATGTTTTCATATTGCATACTTTCCATTGAAATATTTGCTAACATAAAGATTGTAAATATTTTGTTCTGTATTTTGTTCTGGAAATTTCTAGTTTTAGATATAGATATAGATTTAGATTTAGAGATTTAGATTCAGATTTAGATCTATGACCCATTTCAAGTAATTTTTTGTGTTGTGATGTAAGATATTAAGTTGATGGTCGTGTTCCTGATCTTAGGATGAAGGCATTTATTTAGTCATTCACCTTTTGTATGTTAGTGGGTTTTTCACAGACACCCTTTATTAGGTTGAGGAAGTTCCCTTCTGTTTTTAGCTCTTGAGTGGCTTGCCTTTTTAAAGTAATAAATGGATATTGAATTTTATAGAATGTTTTTTCTGCATCCATTGCAGAATTTTTCTCTTTTTTCTGTTAATATGTAAAATAACATTAACTGATTTGTAAATATTAAACCAACATTGTATTTCTGGAAGAAACCCTAGTTAGAGGTGGTATATTGTCCTTTTTTATATATTGTTGGATTTTATTCACTACTCTTTAAAAGGATTTTTACATCTAGGTTCACAAAGGATATGTTTGTAGTTTTCTTTTTTTCATAAATTCTTTGGTCTTGATAGTAGGGTAAGGCTAGCTTCATGAAATGATTTGTGAAGTGTTCGCTCCTCCACTCTTTTGTGAAATAGTTTGTGATGGACTGGTACTATTTCTTCCTTAACTGTTTCATAATTTAACTTGGAAGTCTTTATTGTTATTTATGGAAAGGTTTTAATAATGGTAACAAATTCTATAATAAATTTAGAGCAATACAGATTTTCTGTTTCATCAGGAATCAGTTTTGGTAGTTAGAGTCTTCCAAGGAATTGATACATTTCATGTAAATTGTTTAATTTTTGGCATAAGGTTGTTTATACTATTACCTTATCATTTTAATTTCTGTAAGATGTGTAATGATGGCTCCTTTTTAATTCTTTTTATTGAACATTCATATCTTCTTCCTCTGCTAGTTCATGACTCTACTAGAAATGTATCAATTCATTTATCTTTTCAAAAACTCAGCTTTAGGATTTGGATTCATTGATTATTTTTTCTAAGTTTTATAATCTCTCTTTTTTTTTTTTTTGAGACAGGGTCTTACTCTGTCACCCAGGCTGGAGTGCAGTGGTGTAATCATGGCTCACTGCAATCTCAACCACCTCCCAGGCTCAAGCCATCCCCCATCTCTGTCTCCCAAGTAGCTGGGCTGAGACTACAGGTGTGCACCACCACACCTGGCTAATTATTTTTTATTTTTTATTTTCTGTAAAGATAGGGTCTCACTTTGTTACCCAGGCTGGTCTTGAACTCCTGGGCTCAAGTGATCCTCCAGCTTCAGCCTCCCAAAGTACTGAAATTACCATGTGAGCCACCATGCCCAGCCAATTTCTGTTCATATATGTATTATTTTCTTCAAATGTGTAAAGATACACACTTGAGTTTAAGTCTATCTTCTTTTTCTAGCATCTTAAGGTTGGTCATTGATTTTGGACATTTCTAATTTTCCAATATAAACAAAGCCATAAACTCCCTGGTCACTGTCTTAGTGGCATCCCACAAATTATAAAGTGAATTTTCATTTTCATTCACTACAGTGTGTCTTCTAATATTCTTTGTGATTCATTTTCTGATCATTAGTTATTGAGAACTATCTTATATAATTTCCAAATATTTGAGGATTTTTCCAGACCTGTGCCTAGAAATAGGATTTCTAACATATTCTTACTGTGGCCAAAGAGCATACTTTAAATAGTTTTAATACTCTAAAATTTACTGGGACTTCTTTTACTGCCTTGCATATAATATATCTTAAGTGTTCCATGTGCACTTAAAAAGAAGGTATATTCTGCTATTGGTGAAATTTTGTATAAATATCAATAATATCAAATGGTTAATAACTTTGTTAGAGTCTACTATATTCTTGCTGATTTTCTTTATATCTATGATATCAATTACCGAGAAAGAAGTATTGGAATCTTCCAGATATTATTGTAAATTATCTATTTCTTCTTTCTGTCAGTTTTTGCTTCATGAATTTTGAAGCTCTGGGGTGGGATTTAGGATTATTGTATCCTTTTGATAAATTGATCCCTTTATCATTATGAAGCATCTCTCTTTATCTCTGGTCATGTCATTTATGCTGAAGTCTACTTTATCTGTTATTATTATAGCCATTCCAGCTTTATTATTATATTTTCACAGTATGTTTTTTCCACCCCTTTATTCTAAGACTTTATATTTCAATAGATTTCTAATAGACAACATATTGTTGAGCTTTGCTTTTTTATCTGATCTTAAAATATCTGTCCTTTGAGTGTTTCAACTAGGTTTAATTGAATTTAGCAATACTGTGGCGCTTCACATTTAATATATTTAGCAGTATTGTGGTGCTTCAGTGTACCATCTTGCTTATTTGTATTTTTGTTAGTCCCATCTGTTCTTTTTTCTTTCCTTGTTTTTTCCCACCTTCCTTTGGATTGAAAGTTTTTGTATTATTCCATTTTATTTCTACTACTGTCTTATTAGCCCAGTATTTTATTTTATTTTACTTTTAGTTCTTGCTCTAAGGCAGGGGTTAGCAAACTAAAGGCTGCAGTCAAATCTGACCCATCGCTTGCTTTTATAAAGTTATATTGGAACACAGTTGCACTCATTCATTTATGTATTGCCTATGGTTGTCTATCTAGCTGACGAGTTTCATGCTGCAATGGCAGAACTAAGTAGTTGTCACAGAGACCATGTAGCATGCAAAGCCTAAAATTTCTACTATCTGGCTCTTTACACAAGTTTGCCAGTCTCTGCTCTAGGGTTTACTATAGGTTTCCTTAACTTATTACAATCTACCTTCAAATAATATTATACCACTTCACATATAAAAACCTCTCCTGTCTTTTGTTCCACATTTTACTTCTGCATATATTATAAGCTTGCAAATATATTATTACATTTGTTTTGAAGGGCCCATTTTACATTTCCTTGCACATTTACCACACCTTGCACTCTCCATTTCTTTTCTATATCTAAGTTTCCATCTGCTGAAATTTCCTTTCTGTCTAAAGGATATTCTTCAATATTTCTTATAGTTTAAGTCTGCTGGCAACAAATTACCCCAGCTCACATTTGTCTCCAAGTATTTATTTAATTTTATTGCTGAGGAATATTTTTACTGGATCTAGAAATCTAAGCCAACAGTTTATTTTGTTCTTTCATTCAGCACTTTAAATAACATGGTCCATTGTCTCCTTGTGTAGTTTCAGATGAGAAGTCTGTACTTATGTTTTATCTTTGTTCCTTTATACATAATGTGTCTTTTTTCCTTTGGTTACTTTTAAGATTTTCTCTAAATTGTTTGTTTTCAAAAATTTGGTTATAATGTGCTCCGGTGGAGTTTTTGTTTTCCTATTTGAGGTTCATTGAGCTTATATTTTTCATCAAATTTGGAAAATTTTAGCCATCATGTCTTCAAATATTCTACTGTTTTCCCTTGCCCCAGCCTGTCCTTCTGGAACTTTATGTTACACCACTCCAAATTGTCCCAAAGGTCACTGAGACACTGTTCATTATTTTTTGGATCATTTTCTTGCATATGATTCATTTTGGATAGTTTCTATTACCAGACTTTGAGTTTACTAATATTTTCTCTTGCAATTATACTTTCAATCTTTCCAGAAGATGTTTCATTGGCATATACTGTATTTTTTTAATTTCTAGAAGTTTCACTTTGTCTTTTTAAAATATATCTTCCATTTATTTCTTTACTACATATATGTTTACTTTTTATCATTTCGACAGAGCTTAACAGCTGTTTCAAAGTCTTTGTCTGCTGATTCTATCATTTCTATGATTTTCTGATTGATTTTTCTTCCTGATTATAGAACACATTTGCCTACTTTTTGGCATGTCCTGTAATTTTTTATTGGATACTGAATATTGTGTTTTGAGCATCTGGATTTTCTTGTTGTCCTTTAAAGAAGTTGAAGTGTTTCCTGCCAGTTAGACAAGTTACTTGTTGATCGGTTTGATCCTCCCAAGGCTTGTTTTGAAGATTTTTAGGGCAAGTCTAGAGAAGCAATGACTCTAGGGATAATCCCACCACCCAGTCATGACACTTCTGTGGTCTCTACTGAAGGTCCAGGTGATCCGTGAGGACGTTCCGCTCCTGCTGGTTGGAGTTTACATGTCTCTCACTGCTGTGATTTTTGGGGATTGCTCAGTCTCCAGCTCCCCATTCATTGCCTGGCCTCGTGGAGTTTTGCCCTAGGCATGCATGACCTAATATTCGGCAAAGACTCTGAAGTGATTTTTCTATGCAGCTCTCCTCTCTGAAACTCTGCTCCACAATTTTGAGTCACCTCAGCCTCCCTGAACTAAATCTCTGTCCTCAACTTAGTGAGACTGCTGAGCTCTGCTGAGGATTCCTCAACCTGCCATGGGGTACAGAATGAGATCCCAGGCAGAAGGCCAAGGGCTTACCTCACTTTTCCCCCGTTTCTTAGGAATCAAAGTATTGCACTATCTGTTGTCCAACATCTGAAAACACTTGTTATGTCATTTTCACCCAGTTTTCTTGTTGTTTATGATGGGAGAATATGTCTGGACTTTTGTCATTCCATCATGGCCTGAAATGGAAGTTCCACTATTACACTTTTATTTATACATAAGAGAGAAGGGCAAGCCTCAAGACTGGAGGCAGAGATAGTCGTGTTACAACAACCAAACAAGATGAAAAAGCTAGGTTGGTCTGCATTAATAGAGGTGTGGTGTCTGAAACAAGGAAGGTGATCATCCCACTGTTCTCCACACATGACTGGACTTGTTCATTTATTCATTTATTCCATAAGCATGCTTTGACTGCATGATTTGACCACCTCCTTTGTCAGCTTCTGTGGTAGGCACTGAGGATACCATGTTGCATGAGATATAGCCTTTGTCATTAAGAAACTCATAGACCAGAAAGGAATAGGCAAATAACATGGAAATAACAATGCATCATGATAAGGAATGCAGTAGAGATAAACCCAGAGGTTATGAGAACCCAAAGCGGGGGATACCTATTCCAGCCTGAGCAAGGGTAGGGGAATCAAGATGAACCCTGTGGGTAAGGATGGCTTATGAGTAAAGTCCCAGTGGATGAGTAAGAAAGAAAGCATCAGCTGAAGAAAGTGAGGGGAATTGGAAGTAAAGCACACATATGCAAAAGCTAATTTAATTTCTTCTGGGAATTGGAAGTATTTCAGTGTGGCTGAAGTGCCACAAGGGTAATAGAGGAATGGGGTGAGATTAGGCCGAAAGGAGATATAATTGATGAATAACATAAGGTCTCATTAAAATTTTAAACTTTATCCTGGAGAACTGAGAACTATTGAATAGTTTTCCCAGGTAAATAACATGGTCTCATTTATGTTCTGGAGAGATGTCATGGAAAGATGTTTGGAAAAGGAGGCTCTAGGGGGGAAATAATAATCCATCAGGCAGCAGTAGCATTAATGCAGGCAAAAGATGACATGGGCCTGAGCTATGTTATTGGAAATGGGAATCAAGAAAAGTAGATGAATGAGAGATATTTACAGCATAGTCAACTAAGCTGGAAGACTGATTGGATATAGAAATTAAGGAAGAGGTAGCCATCATACATAGCACCCAGGTTTTGACTTGGAAAGCTAGAGTATTCTATTAAGAAATACCATATTCCTTGGTTTTGTTAGGATTGACTCTTGTCTTGCCATCTATGTGATTTCAGGCTTTTCGTTGCCCGGACCTATGCACTTCCTCTGGATGTGTGAGTTTGTTTTCTGTACTTAAAGTTGCCTTCCATCTCTTGCCTCTTCTCACAGTCAGAATCTGTGTGAGCTAAGCTCATGGCTTCTCTCCTGGCTCTGTCTGGGTCACCATGTCAGGTTCCTTCTTGGGTCTGTCTCCCCAGCTATGTGATCTGGACTCTAATCTCCACTGTTACTATATTTCTTTCTATGACTCATGGAATATTGTGACATAGAACTGACAAAATAATACTTGGAGATCAGAGCTAGAAGGGAGTTAAACCTTTTTGTGGTACAATATACCAGTTTTTCAATTGAAAAAAATGAAAACATAGTTCCATCATGTCATTCATACATTCACTGAGCATATGTTGATTTTACTACCCTGCCTGGGTCAAACAGGACTAATCAACAATTATAACTCTCCCATATAGAGGTGGATCTGTAGGTTCTTACAATCTTGTATGAGGTAAGAAAGATGTTGATTTCCTTCTATTGTGGATATTAACAGTAGGGAATAGAAGGTTCAAGCTATAAAAAGTAGACATAAAAAACAGGAGAACTGATCATGAAAGACTGATGGGACTGTGGCAAAGACTGCTAATCATCCTATAATATTGGTCCTCCTCTTTTTTAGTAACACAGCCTTCAGTTTTTAGGTTGAGTACATGGCCCATAATAAAATCCTTATACTTAAATGGATGTGTCAAAGTCCCCACATAGTATAGATGATATATTCAAAGTAGAATAACTCCAAGAAGATTGATTTATAAAGGGGCTAATGACTGAGATTGGGTATGGAGAAACTTTAAGAGTAGTGTAGTAAGCAAAGCTCATGTCAGCCAGGCTGTTGTTAACTCCTTTGGGGCTGCATGGGATGGAGAGAAGGAAGAGTTACCAGAACCTGGAAAAAGAGAGAGTCAAGTAGTGCCATTCATTTTGCAAGGATCAGTTATCTTGAGTTGAGGGACAGAGCCAGCCAATGCAACCTTGATGGGAGGGATCCAGAAAAATAAATACCCTGACCTCACTCTTCTCTTTTTCTGATCTCCTGCTAGAATCCCTACTGTCTGAGCTAGAACCATAGAAACCAAAGGTTACAATAGCCCACTGATGTGGTTGACACATGCCAACCCACAAAGACAGACAGCAGACGACGAGGAGTAGGCAGTGCATTTGGGGAGGCAAATGGAAGATAATTGGCATATGGGAGTTATGTAACTAAGCAGAAATGGTGTGTTCAGCTTCTGGGATACATCTTTAGAGGGAGGAGCATGTCTTCCTCCTTCCTGTAAGCTAGAGTAATGACATGATGCCTGAAATTTGAGCAGCCATCTTGGTCCACAAGATGAAAGCTCCATCCTGAGACTGGTGGAACAAGAATCCCTGAGGGAACCTGAATCCCTGAGAACTAGGCAACTAGACCTGGTTGCCTACATTTCATTGAGAAAAATAAACTTGTACTCTTTTTAGGCCATCGTTATTTTGAATTTTCTATCACTTGCAGCTGATGCAAATCCTAACCAACTCAGAGACAAAACAGGAAATTCTTTTGGACTACATTGGTCATATTTTTTTTTTTACTTGTAAGCATCTAAAATGGAGTTCTTTTGCTTAAGCAAAGGAAACATTTATTGGAAGAATGCTGGGGGTGTCTCAGAGAATCAAAGGAAATGCTGAACTACCAAGATAGGAGGACCCAGGGCAATTCTGGTTTCTTGAAATTCTTCATGGTCTCTCTTTCACCCTTGAGGACTGCCACAAACATGACTCTTTCCCCAGCAACTCCCAATCTCTTCAGCAACTCATTCCAATTTTCATATTTCTACTAAAGAGAATCTGACTAAGGTAGCTTGGGTCAGGCTCTGGTGTCTCTGTGGGTTAAGAGGTCACAATACAGACAGGGCCATTGGGGGGGCACCTGAAATTCTTAAAGCCATGGATGTGTAGTGAGTCGGTCACCCCAGGAGGTGTGATTCAAAGTGAAAAAGGCACCAACCTCTAAAACATTTGTGTAAGTATAGTGTATCTCCACAATGAAGTCACAGCTCTTTGAGAGCATGTTTCATGCTTTTTCTGGAAGCAACTTGGACAACAAAAATGCCTGGTTTATAGTAGACGCTGAATAAAGGATCATTTCCTTTCACTTTCCCCCATAATCCCTGATATTACAAGTCTCATTACAGGAATAGGGGTGGCAACAACTGAAAGCCAGAATGTTTTGTAAATTTTGTGCAACCAGATTCACCAAAATTCTCAATATCTACCATATGCCAGGCGTATATTGAATACAATTGACAGAAGAAAATAGTAAATGTTTTTAAGAGCTCACAGTCTGGCAGGGAAGAGAAGCATGTAGATGACTCACAATAATAGTGAGTTATGTGCTGTAGTAGAAATAAGTATAAGATGCCTTAAGAGTATAGGGGAGAGAGCAACTGAGAGAGTTGGAAGAAGTGACATTTGAGGTGGTGTGTGTGGATGAGTAGGAGTCCTGCAGGGATAAAATGGATGAGGAGAATTCTAAGCCAAAGGAATAGCATGTTCAATGGTACTGAGGCATAGAAATGCTGAGCTGTGTTCAGGAAACAGCTAAAACCTTCATGTGAATAGACTCCTAGGCATAGACTAGAACCATATTTAGTCATTTGATAATAACAATTGAGTACCTGTACTGTGCAGGGTTACTAGGGGGTCAAGGAAAAATGATAAAGAAAATGTGGTATATATGCATAATGGAATACTAGTCAGCCAAGAAAAATAATGAAATTATGTCTTTTGCAGCAACATGAATTGGAGGCCATTATTTTAAGTGAAACAACTCAGACACAGAAAGAAAAATACTGCATCTTCTCACTTACAGGTGAGAACATAATAATGTGTACTCATGGGCTTAGAGTCTGGAATAGTAGACACTGAAGACACAGAAAGGTGTGGGGTGGCAGGGGGGTGGATAATAAGAAATTACTTAATGGGTACAATGTATGTTATTCCAGTAATCGATACACTAAAAGCCCAGACTTCACCACTACACAATATATCCATGTAACAAAATTATACTTATACTCCATAAATTTATACAAATTTTGTATAATTTTTGTACAAATTTTGTATAAATATCAGTGCCAGGCACTGTGCTATGGATTTTACATGTTATCTCATTTAAACTGAGGCTGATCTACAATTCTTACAAAGAAAAATGAGATGTACTTCTCACCTTCAGTGGGAAGGGCAACCACAATGACTATGATTAGATGAGTGCAATACCAGATGGGGACAAAAACTTTCCTGTGAGTTTTTGGGGGAGTTTTAGGGGAGGGGACATTATCTATGGACTCAGGAAGAGGAGCCCAGAGCTCTAGGCATAGGTTGGAGATTTGAATGCCATGCAAAACTGCTTCAGTTTCTTTATCTTGCAGGTCATAGTGCCCTCTAAAATTTTTCATACATGTTTGTTAAGCAGGAAGGCTCATTTGCAGAGGTTGCTTTAAAACCTTCTGTCTCAAAAAAGGACAATCCCATTTGTTTTATACTTGTTTGCCAGGCACTGTGCTATGGATTTTACATGTTATCTCATTTAAACTGATGCTGATCTGCAGGTGGAGAGGGCTGTGTGTCCAACTTTGGAGGTGAGCAAGGCAGAGAACAGAGAAGAGTGCTGTGTAGTGTCGGTGGGGATGGTTGGGCATGTTAATGCTGTTTTATGTGTAGGGTGCAGGGAATTAAATTCTCACAGTTCAGAGAAAGGTCCCTGCCTTGATCAAAATGGCTGCTATTCATTGAGTATGTATGATGAGTCAAAGCCTTAATTACTCCATCAGCCAGAAATATGGTGAGCTGCAAATCACTTCAACTACCTACAGTCCACTTGTCTCAAGCCGTGAGGAGTCCAAGAAAAGCAGTCCAACAATACCACCAAAGACCCACTCATCGTTTTTCTAAGACAGCTGTTGCATCTCCAGGTCTCTTTTCCCTATTCCAAGAAGGAAGAAAAGGAGAAGAAAGGCTTTTACCAAAAAGGTTTAGCTTTCTTATTCAGGACCAGAAACCCTTCCCTGAGACTTATGCTTACATTTCATTGGCCAGAACAATGTCATGTGGCCACCCCCAGGTGCTAGGGAGACTGGAAAATTGAATGTTTTAATAGGGTGTATGTGCTGCCTCCTCCACCCTAAATTAGGCATGAGTCACTGAGGAAGAAGGGGGATATGGGTAGCAAGTAGGCAACATATATAATCTCATTCCATGCTTCCAACAGTTCTGTGAAGTAAAGTTATCTACATTCTACAGATAGGAATATGAATGCAGAGAGGAAAGTAAATTGCCCAAAGTCACCCAAATAGTGAGTCATGGAATAGAGATTTTAAAACAGGCCTATATCATTCCAACTGAAAGGATTATTTTATGATATCATCCTGTCTCCCTTAGCTGTGTGAACTTGAAGAATTTACCAAACCTCCCTGAGCCTCAATTTAAGATCCGTAAAATTAGAATAATCATCCCTGACTCAAAGCTTCCTGAAGCATCAAGTTACATGCAAAGGGTTGGAAAGGATAATATCAATGGGACCCCAATTATTATTGATTTACCATTTGCCAAAATGTCTCATCTAAAGTTGACAAGCAATGAAGGTTCTCTGAACACAGCATGAACGTTGGTATTTGGGGTTGGCACCAGTAAAATCTCTTCACTGGCATTTCCTATTTGGGCCTCATTATGGATTCCCAGGAATTTCCACTGGCTGGATTTCCTTTGTCCACCTCAATAGCTGCATATGCAGATGAGTTATGAGCCACATTCCACAGCAGGTCAGATGAAAACAATGTGCAAACTATCCATTGTAGCTTTCTTGCCTTCTTTCCCCATGGCTGCTCCCCAACTAGAGCTAAATCCAGGCTGTTCCTTAGACTGTGCTTCTGGTGCCCCCTCCCAAGATGGAATAAACTGTCTGAACACCAAGGAAGTCATCCTGCTGCAGACGCACCACAGCTCACATGGTTTCGTGCCTCTCGGATTGGGCTCTTGTGTGTCTCTGCCTGGAAGGCTTTGCCGTCATTGTTCTCCCAGTCAAGGCCCAGGCAAAATCTTAGGTATCCCATTTCAGTGACACCTTTCCCCACTCTTCCTGGTGGGATTTTGTTGTTGTTACATTTTTTTCTCTATTACCAAAGGGCTTTGTCCATACTTGTGTTACACATAGCACTGTCATCACATCAAGAGTCTGGCTTTGCTTTTACTGAACACCAGGATTTTGAAAAAGAACAAATAAAGTAATAGTGATAACCCCAAAAAATGTGATGCTGTGGTATGAATGTTTGTGCCCCTAGCCCCCAAAATCATATGGTGAAATCTTGACCTTCAAAATATTAGTATTGGTATTGGTATTAGTATTGGTATTAGGAGGTGGGGACTTTGAAAGATGATTAGGTCATGAGTGTGGAGCCCTCATGATTAGAATTAGTGTCCTTATGAAAGAAACTGAAGAGAGCTCCTTTGTCCCTTCCACCATGTGAGGATACAGTTAGGAGGTGAGATCAATGAGGAAGCATGCCCTTGCCAGACACCAAATCTGCTGGCATTTGATCTTGGACTTCCCAGCCTTCAGAACCATGAGAAATAAATGTTTATTGTTTACAAACTACCTAGTTTATGGTATTTTTGTCATAGCAGCCCGAACACACTAAAACATTCATGTACATTATAATAGAAGAAAGCAAGGATGAGATGGGAATCAAAAATATAAATGAAAAAAATTATATTCTCCTTTCCCTTCCCATCTGTATCCCCGACAGCCACTTAGTTATTTCTCTGGTGTGGCACAAGCAAGGACCAATCCAAGCAGGCAAAGAACTAGAGCAGAGTGCTAGAGGCCTCCTGTGCAGCCAAGGTTCATTTTCTTAGGGCTACAGTCTGGTCATCTTTTTGTGTCAATACATACAGACCTATTCTATTTGTTTTCGTTGCTCCCTAACTATTGCATGAATATACCATGAAATTTTTAGGCCATTTTCCTACCTTGGAAGCATCCAGTGTTTCACTGTTACAAATGTTGCTGGAATGAATCTGCTTGAAAATATATTTGTGAGCACACGTGCTGGTATTTCTGAGTGATAGAATCCTAGAAACAAGGTTTGGGTGGAGACTCCAAAGTTGTACTCCCACTTAATAGGACATAAGCATACATGTTTCCCCAAAGCCCCACTGAAATTAGATATTGTTGATTGTATTAACTTTTGTAAACGTTGAAAAACTATCTCATTACTTAGTTTGAATTTCTTTAATGATCAATTCAGTTGAGCTTTGTTCTATATGTTTATAGGGGTTTTATTTTTCTCCTGTGCTGCGACTACTAGCATCAGGATCTTGATTGCAATAATCAGGGAGTTCCCCTCAGTCCTGAGGCCTGACTCCAACAATACCCCATGAAATTTTTCAACACAAGAATATGTGAGAAGAACAAAAGAATTTGTTAAGAATGGCTGAGCCAGCACTCTGGGATTAGAGCCTCAAGAAGTTTTCCTTTGCCGTTTACTGGGCATATCCATGTGTGACAATCACATGTACCATTCACTGAGGTTCTAGTGGCAACTTCTAGACCAAACACTTTAAACATGTATTAAGGGTCTTCCGCTTAGGTAGGGAAGGGAAGGGTCTTACATTTTCTAGTTTGGGGGCTTCTGGGGCTTTGCAGGGTTTTCTGTTATTTTTTTGGTTGTTGTGTACATTGCTGTTGTCTTTGCTTTGTGCCAGTCTGGCAGAGTATCTTCCATGTGAAATGACGTCTAGTTCTGCAACATTCTGATGGGGGATGTCACCTTCTCAATTCAGAGCCTTTTCTATTAAATACGGTCTATTGCCTTTGCATAAGAAGTCAATTTTATTTCATTTCAAATTCAAGGAGCACCTACTCTGTGCTAAACTTTGGGAATACAAAATTAGATTACACTAAGTCCCTATTTCAGGAAAGCCTCCAGTCTGGTGGAGCTGAAAGGGAAATATCATGGTCATATAATCAAGATGGAGTGATGCTTGGGATTCTCTGGGAAGATAGGACCAATTCCCTGCTTTCCAGTTGCTGTGATCTGAGTGTTTATGTTCTCCCCAAATCCATATGTTGAAATCCTGACCCCCAAGGTGATGGCATTAAGAGGTGGGGCATTTGGGAGGTGATTGTGTCCTGAGAGCACAGCCCTTGTGAATAGGATTAGTCCCTTATAAAAGAAATCTGGAAAGATTTCTCACTTCTTCCATTCTTGTGAGTTTACAGTGAGAAGATACCCATCAATGAGAAAGCCTTTACCAGACACCAAATCTACAGGCACCTTAATCTTGCACTTCCCAACCTACAGAACTATGAAAAAAAAAAGTTTGTTGTTTATAAGCCACCCCATTTATGGTATTTTGTTATAGTAGCCCAAACTGACTAAGATACTAGTGAGCAGGTAATAGAAACTCTATGTGCCTCAGTTTCTTCATTTGTAATACATAGAACATAATAACACAACTGATAAGGTTATTACGAGTACTAAATGAATTATCCAAATAAAGTACCCAGAGCATGTTGTGTAGTAAGTGATCAATGTGTTAGTTTTTAGTGTTATTATCACTGTTTTTCTTAAGTATTATTATTATTATTATTATACTACAAAAAGGGATCTCACTCAATCTAGAGGTTACTGGAGAAGGTGCTGGCAGGGTCAAGTTTTGAAGAGCAGAGAAAGTGGATTTAGCCTTGATTGAGAGATGAAATGTTTTATTTATTATTTTGAGGTGCACAGTGACAACAGGTTGGACATTTAACCTCCATGATCTCATATACAAATGACAATGCTCAGACAGAGAGGTCACATAACTTGTCCAAGGTTACACAACTAGTTAACTGTTGGTGTTAAGACTTGAATGTATAGTATTTTTATTTCCTCTATTTTATAGATAACAGTGAAGTGCAGAGAGGCATTGGGGATCAAAATTTAAATCCATGTTTCTCAAAGTCCTGAATCCATGTTCTTCCCACTACCCTAAGCTTCCCACCTAGTGGAATATATTCATCTTGTTTCTTTCAGATGTTGCAACAAGACATTAGGCTTCTTTACGATTTGGTTTTCTTATTTCTAAATCGCGCCTCTCTACACCTCTCCTCTGTGCAGACTGCCCCTGTTTCAGCCTCCAGGAGAGTCTGTGACAAGGAGTGGGCTCCCTCTGCAAGGTGCTTGGATTCCTCTGAAGAAAGAAAGCAAGGAAACATGAAGTATGGTGATGGTGGCATTTTCAAGGGCGGGTGATGAATGGAAACTTCCTGACATTTCAAGCGACAACATCTGAAAGGAAATGGAATTTTCCTGAAGCACAGGCAGGAGGTCCCCGTCACAAGCTATTGATTTGGTGTGCACATCTTGCATTTAATCTGGTGATTAATTTGGAGGGAGGCTGCATGCATGCTGTGCTTTCATTTAGTGAGTTTAAAAGCCCACAACTTCTGATTTATTTTGCTTCATTCATGAGGAGCTGTTTTATTGCAAAGGGTTGAATGACAGGTTTCCTGGCAGGCTGTAAAGACAGGTAAAATTTAAATAAGGAACATAAAATCTTTGAAGACACTCTATTTATCTTTTGTAACTTATTAATCACACCTATTGAAGGCTGGTTGACCCTCCGGGAATAGTTCAGCAAAGAAAAACTATTGAGCATGTTAAGCTTGCCAATCCCTTGCTTTTCTTTTTCTTCATTTAGAGATGAGAAAACTAAGGACCTAAAATAAGACTTTACTTGCTAAGTCATACCATGAGTTGGAACTGAAATTAACTCCTAGCTCTGCCCTGTGACTTCAAGACCACCAAAATACAAGAAGTATGTGTAGAGCTCGAAATATGTTCCTAAAATATTCAAAGTATTTTAATAATAAATTGAGAATTAACATAAGCACTCTCTAACTAACATCTTATCAATGGCTCCCCATTGCCTGAAGAACAAACTTTAAGAGCCAGCCTCCACTTACTTGGCAAGTTCCATTTCTTTTCCCCCTTGAACTCACCTCCGTCCATATGAAACGACTTTACCTTTTCCCAAGTAGAATATGGTCCTTCTTATTGCTGGGCTGTTGCAAATGCTGTCCACTTGCCTGGATGTTTTTCCTGGAAGGAAGTAAAGAAGGGAGAAAGGGAGGAAGGGAAGAGGGAAGGAAGGACCGAGAACATGGGTTTACAGCTCATTTTATTAGCAGGCATTGCCTCTTTGGGTTGGTGCTCATTCCAGCAATTCAAACTACCTCTGACCCACAAGAATTTTAATTTCTCTACTGTGACTTTATCATTTACCTGAGGTTCTCCCATTGTAATCTTTGGGTATGACATGGCTCCACTTATTCCAAGAAGTTACCATATTTCTCTTGGCTAAAGCTCCCCAACTCCTAAAAACCCAAGAAACTCTCTCTCTTTGATTCCTTAGTAGGTTGGAAAAAATCTCCCCCATCTATAGCACATGGATTCCAAGAAATCAAACCAAAACTATACTGAGAGGTTCTGAAGGGGGAAAATGTAGGTGGGCCTCATTATCTTGAAGGATGGCGCAAACTCAAACAGCAGGCATTTCCAAAAGGGGCTGGGGACACATGCAGAACATGATATAAAAATGTCAGATTATTAAAGAGTAGCTAGAGATAACAGGGTCAGGGTTAAGGGTGAGCATGGAAAACATGTCTTAGACTGTGTGTTGGCATCATGGAAAAGAAAATTCTAAGATAAAGAGTGGAGGAATGGGATATTGGAAGAATTGAAGAACAGGGCACTTTGTTCATTTAATAGCACATTTTATTGAGCACCTACTATGTAACAGGGCCTGCTCTGTGAGCTCAATATGCAGGAGGAAAGAAAATGTGATCAAAAGACAGCTTTTGATGGAATTCAGTCTCATGGAAATCTGGACTTCAACTTCAGTTCTGTCACTCATTACCTTTTTGACCTCACATTGTTTGTTTCAGTTTCCTCATTTGTACAATATGTGTACTCTTTTCTGTGTCTTGATGGCCTGCTATGCTGTTGTGCCAGGAGCCGTGCTAAACCCTGGACACACAACAGTGAACTAGACAGACACAGTACCTGTGCACCCCTACCCTCACCCACCAGAAGCTTATTGAGTAAAGGCAGGGACTGACATGTTACCACAATAAAGCATTTGCTGTGGGAGGATCTAGCAGAGCTGAGATGGCATTTCACATACATGGGCTCTTAGGATTCAATTAGATAAATGATTTTAATGGGCCACCATGATTTCTACAAGAGCACAGGCTCTAGAACCAGACAGCATGAGTTCAAATTCCAACTTTGTTAGTAAATCCCAATTATTTACTAACTATATCATGTAAGGAAGTGTCTAAGTCTCTCTTTTTTCTCATCAGTAATAAGGGGATAATAAGAGTAATTAATTCATGTAGTTGTTAAAAAGATTAAATTAGTTAATATATGTAAAAAGTTTAAAATAATATCTGGCACAAAAGTACACAATTAATAATAATAATTATCTTTATCATTATGATTGACACAGACCCTGGCTCATAGTGGGTGCTCACAATTGCTAGTTCCTGTCCTCTGCTACATGGCTCTTCTTAAAATCCCATAGGCCTAGCAGAACAGTGGCCCATGTTTCATATTTCATCATATGTCAAAGGCCCAAATTGGTAACTACAGAAAGGATTGTTCTCAGTATCACTTATAATTTATTCCTGTCTGAGCAAGTTGCCTTGTTGAGCCTTTGAAGAGCACAAGGGTCTTCCCTGTAGGGTGGACTAGAGACTAAAGTAAGATTGTCAGGGAATTAGAGCCGCAGGAACAAGAGAACCTGGAAAAAAAAACTTGGGTCCCAGATGGATGACAGCTGGCTGTCTTCAAGGAGACCCTTGGAGGAAAAGGCCACATTTTGTCATTCAACCACAAGCATGGTATTTGGAGTCTTATACACTTGGGGTCACTGCTTGACTCCACACTTACAAAGCCATGTAGTCTTCTGGGTCATTTGAGAGTTGGGAAGGATCATGTCTATATCATATGATTGCTAGGAAGGTTATATGGAATGACTAGTTTTTAAATGCCTGGAAGTTAATAGAACTATTGTCCAGCCTTGTCATCAAATAATGATGCTGACATTATCCTTAGCACTGAGTGGTACTTATGGTACTGATGGTCAAACAAACTTCCTCCTCCAATGCTAGTAAGACTAGTATACCCTACAGAAAATAAGGTCTCAGAATTAGGGACCCAAACTCCATGAATACAGGAACTGGTGAGTCTTGTTTCTTGTTGTATCCCCCAGATGATCCTCAGCGTTCAGCAGTAATGCAATAAATGCTTCCTGAATGGATAAACTGTAAGAGGGACAGGCATAAAAACGTAGCATGTCTGGAAAGAGGCCAGCATGGTAATGGGACTCAAAACCACATTGCATAAGGCACATTGGTGGAAGTCGGGCCACACAACTAGCGATGGAAGACTGGGGCATTGAGGTCTTCCGAAAGACGGTTGTATCAGTCAGGGCTTAACCAGCAAAGCAGAATCATAGGAGAGATGGTTGGTTGATTGACTGATTGATTGGCTGATAGATGAATGAAAGGATGAATGATAGATAAATGCATAGATAATTAAATAAAATTAAATAACTTATCATTATTATTGTTTCAAGTATTATTAATTATCCTATGCAATTTGGGAAGCTGACTAAGCCACAGGGAAAACAATCAGGAAGGGAAGACGCACAGGGAAGAGAGAACAATTGCAAGTCCAGCTGCACTTGACACACTCAAAATCAACTGAATAGGAACTTTAATTACATCTGCAAATCCCCTTCACTGCAGCACCTAGATTAGTGTGTGATTGAATCCCTGGGGGATGGTGTGCATATGCTATAAAGTGGTCTCTGCCTCCCATCCAACCTGCAACTCTCATGGAAGACTATCTCTTATGGCCCACCCTAACAAGAAACAGACAAGAGAGGGAATTCTGGGGTGGGTGGCTTGGCCTAGCCAAGCTGATGTTTTTCCTCTATGTTCCAAAACATTGATGCTTTTCCTCTATTTCCCAAAGCCCTCACAGTAGTCATAAGGAAAAGGGAGCAAATTCCTATTCCTCAAAGACAGAATAAGGCTTAATGGGTGGGAATTTTGAGGAAAAGATATAGACCCATTTGAAGAAAGAACTTCATAATAAGTGAGAATAGGTGGCTAGAAGAGGTATGTGAGCAGAACTGAATCCTTGATATTGGCAGAATGGTTGGGATTCTGTAAAGAATCCTCCCATTCCCAAGACTCTGAGCCCACAAATCAGAGACATAGGCTCTAGGGCTGATACCACTATTCACATGCAGGCTCAGTCACCATTGTATGACCCTCTGCGTGCCAGGCATGGTGCTTGGCACCATAAGACCTTAGGCAGGAAGACCAGATGATGCCTGACTCACTGGTTTCAACATCTAATGAATCTTTTCCTAGGGATTGAGAAGGTGCTGCCCACATTCTTAAAATTACATCTCAGCAAAGGCACGACAGTTAAAATCATGTATGCCAATCTGAGGCAGCACCAAATTGGTGGGTCACGTGGCCTAGGGAAAGAGCTTAGCCTGCACCTCTTGGGCAAACACACAGGCAGCTTGATTGCATGTGTCAGTCTGCAGTGAAGCAAGACTTCTAAATTCTGTGTGAGGATATTGATTCTCTCCAAATTTCAAAAATAGTTTCTACGCCCCTTTCACCACTCAATACGTTTGCACCTGCTGTCATTTCCTCTTCCTAAACTGCTCTTCTAGCCTGTTCTAGGTATCTACTGCCGTGTAACAAGGCACCCCAAAATGTAGTGGTTTAAAACAAACAAACAAAAAAAGCCATGTATTTTGTTCAAAAATCCGTGGTTCAGGCAGGCTGAGAGGGAACAGCTGACACTCAGTGTCAGCTGCGGTGGCTCAAGGGCTGGGGGCTGGAATTATCCACCATCTCCATCTATTGCTATGATTTCTCCATGTGGCAGCTACAGGGTTGCTGGACTCCTCACATGTTGGCTCAGGGTTCCAGAGGGGTATATCCTGAGAGAGAAAGAGCCAAGCAGAGGCCTTATGGCCTTTTGGTGACCCAGCCTCAGAAGTCTCATGCATCATTTCTGCTGCACTGTCTGGGTGGAAGAAGTCACACGCCCCCACCCAGATTCAGAAGGGAACACAGACCCCCCCACTTCTCTGTGGGAAGCATGCCAGTCCCATTGTAAGAGCATGTGGGATGGGAGATATATCTTGGTGAGTCCATCTTCGGAAAGTACAATCTGCACCTACTCTTTTTCTATCTGAGAAACACTTCTTATATTTCAAGACCTAACTCAAATATCCCTTCTTTAAAAAAAAGCATCCCTAGCTCTCCCGGAGCAAGATACCTCCTCCCTGCAGCCCTATAAGCACTTTGTATGTCTGCTTTCAAAGTACTTTGTACCCTAAAATGGCATTCTTTGTCACTTTCTGGAGACTGTGAACCATGAGCTCTTCAAGGTGTGTGGTGGTATTTCTATATCCCAGGCTTTCAGCATTGGGATAATGCTTACTTAGGAAATAGTTGTTACTGCAGGCTAAGGTTTCTCGTACACCCTGGACTATCTACATCAGAATGCCTGAGTGCTTGCTCAAAACGCAGACTCCTGGGCCCACATCCCTCTAGGTTAGACCCAGGTGAGACTCAGTGCCCTATGTCTCCCTTAAATGGGTCAGTCCCCTGGAGGAGGTGGCAGAGGCCATAGAAGGGAGAGAATCCTGGTGGTTGCAAAGTTGGTACATTATTTCACCCTCTACCAGCAGGCTCCTTCACCATCCCCACCTCCTCCTTGGCTCTCCCCACCCCCTCCTTGGCTCCCCCAACCCCCACGCATCCTGTCACATCCCAGATCAGAACCATTCTGGAAGCAGTATTTGCTAGTTTGACATTTCAAAATAGCATCATGGAAGCTAAAGATAGCTAGGTTACAAGGGAGGTTAAACATCTTGCCAAATGACACTGAGCAAATTAGGTCTTCTCCATGTTGATCCAGAGAGTACACTGATGTTTTTCCTCTATTTGGAGGAGTAGAAGCATTGGACGAAGAGGAGAAAAGAGATTGAACCAAGAGCCAAAGCGCAGAACCTGTCTCAATTCAGCGGACAGTAAAGGAGTGCATGTATTTCAAAGTCTCAGTTACCAGACTCTGCTTTCTCTAGTTGTCTGAGACAGAAAGCCTGACATAGTAAAACCCTGCTCTCCGGACTATCTATACAGCCCCCGTGTTCTCTTGTGCATCTGGCTTCTGCTCAGACAAACATAGCCAGGAGTTATTTGAGTTGAGGAAGCAGTTTGTGCATCTGAGACAGTTAAGAAAAAAAGTCACTACCCTTTTACTTCCTTTTCTTTTCTTCCTGTCTCACCACATTTCAACTAAATTTTCCAAAGCCACAAACATATGACTGTGGATGTGCAGAGTTGGAGGCCAGAGCCTGGGGTCTATGGAGAGACATGGTGTTCCCCAGAGATCAAGCATTTACGAAGACGTCAGCTTGTATAAATAATAACACGTACCATTTAGGAACTGTTCACCATTTGCCAAGGACTCAGCTAAGCCTTTCACATACTTTACTGCATTTACTATCACAATAATCCTACGAGTTAGGTAGCATTATCCTCCCATTATAGAGGAGGGATTGAGGGTCAGGGAGGTTAAGCAACTTGCTTTGGGTGCCATAGCTAGTAGACTACAGAATTGAGATTCAGCTCAGCATGTCTGACTCCAAAGCCTGCTTTCTTCCCAACCATGTTAGATCATCTTCCTTTAAAAACGTAGACAAGGGGCTGGGCGTGGTGGCTCACACCTGTAATCCCAGCACTTTGAGAGGACAAAGCAGGTGGATCACTTGAGGTCCGGAATTCAAGATCAGCCTGGCCAACATGGTGAAACCCCATCTCTACTAAAAATACAAAAACTAGCCAGGTGTGGTGGTGTGCACCTACAGTCTCAGCTACTCGGGAGGCTGAGGCAGGAGAACCACTTGAACCAGGGAGGCGGAGGTTGCAGTGAGCCGAGATCATGCCACTGCACTCCAGCCTGGGCGACAGAGCGAGACTCTGCCTCAAAAAAAAAAAAAAAAAAGAGAGAGAGAAAAGAAAAAGGTAGACAAGGGATATCCCCACTGCATGCTGTGAATTAAATCCATTCCAGGAATCACACTGGCCTCAGAGAGGGGAAGAGACGCCCCTTGAGATAGACAGGCAAACTCAGGTAGAGCGGAAGGCAGGGAAACTCACTCTCAGTGACTCAGCAGCCCAGCCCACTGTCTGGCCTTTTCCCCATATCACTGATATCTACTGAAAGGGTGATCCCTGCTTGTGTCCTGAAGCCCCAGGGGTAAGTGGCAACCTGAGTCACAAGGGACAGATAGAATGTCAGGGTTGAAGTGACTCTCTGCCTCACCCACTCTGAATGTGACTGCCCCTGCCTATGCAGTGGTGGTGGTGCTGTCACAGCCAGAACATGTTGGCAGAGAGGTGGGCAGGGTGCCTGAGGGGGCAGGGTGCTGGTCATCTGGCTAAAAACAGGGGCTGGGGGTAGGGAAGGCCACTCAGTTATGCCTTCCTTTGGTTCCAAGCTCTATAATATGATTCAGGTGCCTCCCATGGCCCCCTGCCTTCCCAGCAAATTCACTAAGAGCAGAGGGAGGAGGCACTAATGGTTTCCACATTTGGGGCCCTCTGCAGTGAGGCCTTCCAAGCTCTGGGGCAAAGAAATCTAACCTCACCAGCGCTCTGAGTAGATCCCTGTTCTGTGGAGTGCAAACGTGTTCATGGAGTACCTCTTAAAGGTGAGGGTCTTAGGCCTTGTGGGCAAGACCCTGAGAATATGACAAACCAGCAAACAGAGAAGCAGCCTGCCCAGAGCTTACAGCCGGTGGCAGAGACAGAAAACTTACCAGAAAATTACAATATGGGGTGAAGAGGACTGTGCGTGCAGTAACAACAGAGGAAGGCACCTCTTCCTCTGTTAGGGGTTTGCCCAGCATGGTGGCTCACACCTGTAGTCTGTAATCCCAGCACTCTGGAAGCCAAGGCAGGCAGATCACTTGAGGTCATGAGTTCAAGACCAGCCTGGCCAACAGGGTGAAACCCTGTCTTTACTGAAAATACAAAAATTAGCTGGGTGTGGTGGTGCGTGCCTTAATCCCAGCTACTTGGGAAGCTGAGGAAGAAGAATTGCTTGAACCTGGGAGGCGGAGGTTGCAGTGAGCCGAGATCATGCCACTGCACTTTAGCCTGGGCAACAGAGGGAGACTCCCTCTCAAAAAAAAGAAACAAAGCGGGGAGGGCTCAAGGGAAGCATCTCTGTGTTAGTGACTGAGCCCTGCAGGCTGAAAAAGAGTTACGGCAGGGAGGGGTTTGGAGATGCAGGCAACAGGGACAACAGCACATGGAAAGAGCCAGGGAAGGTGGGTGGGTGAGGATGAGGTGGCCAGAGCACAGGGTACAAGGGCACAATGTGTGAAGAGGTGAAAGGAGAGCCAAACAGTCGGAAAAATCTTCAGGTCTTGAAATCCATCAAGGACGGCAATGGAAGAATTATAAGCAGGCCCGAGATAGGAGATCCATTTAGAAATACCAATCTGGCTTCTGAGAACAGCTGGGACATAACAAGATACATGCAGGGAGAGCTGTTAGGAGGCTGAAGCAGTGATTTGGGGCAATAATAGTGGTGTTCTGGAGGAGGGTGGCGGCTGTGGAGATGGACAGGAGCATGAGGGTAAAGGGTGTGATGAGGCCAAATCAACAAATTATATGGTCCTTGCTTTGAAGGAGAAAAAAATTTTAGTTGAAAAAAATCTTTTCTCTCTTAATTCATCCCAGTTTTCTGTGACTAGAAGGACACTTAGAGGTCACTTAGTTCAATTTTCCCCTTGCAAGAAGTCCAGGGATTTTGAATTCCTTCATGCACACAAGGAGTGGGTGAATATTAGGCAGCAGGGGGAATACTCTGGGTGGGCAGCTGAATGGGACACAAGCTTTCTCAAAGTTCCAGAAATTTCCGGACATAGAAGTGTGTATTCTGCTGGCCAGGCCCATGGCTCCAGGCAAAGGGGTGGTTTTGAGGTGACACTTCCTCTGCTGGCTATGATGAAGCACTCTCCTGCCCTCCCCAGGCAGAAACCCCAGCAGGGGTCGGGGGGCACAGAGGCTGGCATGAGGCTGAGGGCTCCTTTCTGCCAACAGACCCAGCCACAAGTGCTTGCTGAGTGACTGCCCTGTACCCAGCCTTGTTCCTGGAAACTGCTGTGATAACACTCTCTGGGTGAGAACCAAGATTCGCTGACCTTTTACATAGGCTGAATCTCCAGGAAAAGGTCATTCTTTTTGGAGGTTGTTGAAAATTTAATGACAGCAATTCCTTAGGCTTGTAAAACCCTTTTAATGTTCTCAAAGCACAGACAACAGCATCTTCTCTTACACTGAGTGGTGTTTTACAGTGTAAAGCACTTACACAGTGACATGCTTGATCCACAGGAAGCCCTGGGAGGGATGCAGAGATCATGGGCCCTAGAGCCCAAGTGACTTCAGTTCAAATCTTTTTTATTCTACGCCTCGAGGCTGTGGGGTGTGGGCCTTGCTTTACCTCTTTGAGTGTCTTCCTCCGTAAGATACATATAATATACAGCCATGTGACAGTTAACAACGAGGATTCATTCTGAGAAATGTGTCCTTAAGGTGACTTTGTCGTTGTGGAAGCATCATCGTGTGTACTTACACAAACCTAGATGGTGTAGCCTACTACACACCTAGGCTACAAATCTATACAGCATGTTACGTTGCTGAATATTATAGGGAATTATAATACAATAATATTCATGCATCTATAAATTAATAGAAAACGTATTATAATCTTATAATCATAAAAATATGGTATTATAATCATGTGGGGCCACCATCATATATGCAGTCAGCCACTAACCAAAACAGTATGTGGCACATGACTGTACCTATTTTGAAACGTTACTGTAAGCATTAAATAAAATGATGCTGCCTGGCCCAGTACTCAATAAAGGCTAGCTTCCTCCAACTTGTTTCCCACCCATTCCCATATTCCAAACAAGGACATATCTAGGGTTGCCACACTAGAAGTTTTACCTGGCACATAGTGGGTCTGAAATAAATGTTAGTTTCCATTTTCCTCCCTTTAAAGCCCTAAACTAAAGCTATTTCTTCCCTGGGTTTTTCCTTACCCGGCCCCTGGTATTTCCTGGAAAACCCCTTTGACAATATCACAGAGCCGTGGAGCCTCTCCTTTGAGAAACGCCCATATATATATAAAGAGGCACCACACACACCCTCTCACCCACACAATTTTGCTTATGATTTTAAGAAGTTCAGATTCCCTGAAGCTTAATTTAGAAGCCTGTGATAGCACCCATATGACACAAAATATCTTCTGCCACAAAGTACAGTTCTTCAGTTATCTGATTTCCGTTTGTAGATTAAAAATTACAAGGAGTTGGAGACCAGCTTTTCTTCTTGTCCAAGTCTGTGTTCTATATGGTGACTGGAGGGTGATAAATACACGGTGAATGTTAATTTAATGCCTGGGTGGACAAATGGATGGATGAATGGAAAGGTGGGTGGGGAGGTGGATGGGTGAGTAGGTAGTTGAAGGGATGGTAGTAGATAGGTGGGTAATTTGGGTGGCGGAATGGATGGGTGGATGGATAACGTAGGTGGATAAGATGGTGAAGGGGTTGCCAAGCTCAGAGAAAGGCCCAGGCAAGCAGTGAGAAGATAAATTAGTGGTCACGGGGGATCTTAACACTCCTGGCAGAAGACGTCTGATATAATCAGTAGAAAGTATGGGATCTGGAGGGTTCAAAGCAGAGAATGAGTGGAGAAAACAATGTCTTAGCAGGTTGGGTCTGAAGCAGGGCTCTTAGCTGGGTGGAACAGGAAGAATCTGAGTCAGAAAGCCAAATAGGAAACAGGGCAGGAGATAGGGGAACTCCTAGCCAAGAAAGCAGTGCTGATGCTGAATGGAAAGCAGAAGCTGCAAGACCTGTTTCTAAGGAAAAGTGGAGAGTGGACAGGATCCAGGGGGTAAGGGAGAGGACTGAATAGAGACACAGGAATTCATGGCATGTGGGATTCTCTGAGTCATAAGTTCAACGATCATTTGTTGAGTTCTTCCTGTGTGTCAGGGGTTGTTTTAGGCACCGAGGATAAGTCCTTGGTGTCAAATAAGAAAGACAGAAACATTAATAAAAGTTGAGATTTACGGAGCATCCGCTATGCATCAGACACTATTCTAAGGGTTTAATGTGTCTCTTCCAAGCAACAATTGTATGAAGGAGGTATCATTATCATCATTGCTTAACAGTTAAGGACACTGAGGCACAGAGATAGTAAGTCACTTCCCCAACACAACTAGTTAAGTATCAGAGCCAGGATTTGAACCCAGTTTCTAGGGCCTATGTGCTTCTTTGCTGTGCTATTCTGCTGCCGTTAAATGAATAATTAAACAATAGTTGTACTGCAGGGTGATGAGAGATATGATGGCAGTCTTTACTGGTTACTGTGGGACACAGAGCGGAGGTGGTAATTGACTTTGGTTGAATGGGTCTAAATGGGTTTTAGGGAGAAGACTCTTTGAAGCTGGATTTTGGAAAATGAGTTTCTTAGGCATCCCGTAAATAAGGAGTGAGGTTTAAAGATGAGGAAATGAGGAGAAGGGCATTCCAAGCAGAGCAACCAGCCTGTGCAAAGTGCACAAGCACCGAGGCATGAAACAGCAGGGACCTAGGCAGGAAACCATTAGTAGTTCTATCAGGCTGTTTTGCAAGGCTAAGAGCTGCCAGGAGGAAAGACATGCTGCCTACTGGGAATAATGCTTAGGAATGTTCCCCTCAGCCTTTATAGAAATATATGGTGTTCAACAGGCTTTTTATCTCTTTTATCATCCTGAATAACCCCAACAAGTAGGAAAGTCAAATATTAAGACTATTCCTATTTTGGGACTAAGAAAACAGCTTGGAGAAGTTAAATGACTGGTCTAAGATTACACCTCCAGTGTGTAGCAGAGGCCAAACTAGATCCTCTGACTCCTAACTTTAATAATCTGGACACACTGGCACACAAAACATTTTGATGAGTGCTGCTAGTACAAAGAAAAATAAGATTGAGTTCTCAGTTTTCTGCTACAAAGGCAATGATGAGGCAGCTCAGATCTGCAAAGGACTGGATATGAAGCCTTGACAGAAAAGTAACCACCAAGATTAATCAACATGAGTGCAGCACTTCACAGCTTGCAAAGCACATTTACATACAGAATCTTAGTTGACATTTATGGAGACACTGTGGCAGATTGTACAAATAATGTTCTTGTTCCCATTTTTCAGATGAACTAGATATACTAATTGATTTGTTTAAGTCACACAGCCTGTAGGTGATAGATTTAAGACTCAAATTCAAGTCTTTCTAATGCCAAATGTATAATACCCATGGGGGCTGTTAATATAATGGCCAATATTTATTGTGTGATTACTATGTGCTAGTTGCTATGTTAAATGCTTACATGCAACATTTCATTTCCCTTCTACAAATATGCCATGAGGTAGATACCTGCTTTAAAATAAAGAAAATTGAAACTCAAAACAGTTAAGTTCCCATAGCTAGGATGACCAGCCAACCACCACTCAAAGCCCCCTGCTTCTAGCACTATGCAATGTTGTCTCCATTGTCTTTAGTCTAGTCCACCCGAACTAAGGAAAAAAATACTTTGAGCTTTTCACAAAACTTGTGTAAAAGCAGGTACATTTGAGGATAAAAAGTTTAACTATTTTATTCAAAACTCTTTATTCCCTTTGTGAATGGTCCAGTGAAAAAGGCCAAGCTTTCCATGTTACCTGCGAGGAAGGCCCAGAGAGGTCATGAGACCTAATCAATAACACACAGCAGCACCAAATTCCTAGTTCAGTGCTCAAAAGTTTAAACCCCAAAAGCCATTCAACTCCTCCTCCCTCCCCTCTGTCTTCTTTATGACCTGGCCTTGTAGGGTAATGGGAATGAGCATGGAAGACAGTCAAGCTGGGATCTGAATCCTGGACATAGAATTTACCAGTTGTAAGCACTTGGACAAGTTGCTCTTTGTGTCTCAGCCTCAGTTTTCATAGCTATAAAATTGTTATATAACATTGTTTTTTTTTTTTCTTTTTTTTTTTTTTTTTGAGACGGAGTCTCGCTGTGTCGCCCAGGCTGGAGTGCAGTGGCGGGATCTCGGCTCACTGCAAGCTCCACCTCCTGGGTTCACGCCATTCTCCTGCCTCAGCCTCCTGAGTAGCTGGGACTACAGGTGCCCGCCACCACGCCTGGCTAATTTTTTGTATTTTTAGTAGAGACGGAGTTTCACCGTGTTAGCCAGGATGGTCTTGATCTCCTGACCTCGTGATCCGCCCATCTCGGCCTCCCAAAGTGCTGAGATTACAGGCGTGAGCCACCACACCCGGCCTATAACATTGTTATATACTATTATTCAACTTGAGGGGGGAATTGAAAAGGTTAAATGAGGTAATGTCCATCATTCTATGTCATTACTTTGTTTTAATTTCTTCCTAGCATTGAACACTACTTATGATTATTTTATTTGTTCATGAGTTTACTGACTTTCTACCTTTGTCTTTCCATAGCTGTTCTCCAAGTGTCTAGAATTGCAGTGATTAGCACAGTGGCCACTAGCCAATGTGGCTATTAAGCATTTGAAATGTTCCTAGCAGGAACTGAGATGTGCTGGAAGTGTAACATACACACAAAGTTTCAAAGACACAGCATTAAAAAAAAAGTAAATGTAAAATATTTTATTGATAATTTTTATATTGATCACATATTGAAATAATATTTAGGGCATATTGGGTTAAATTATTAAAATTACTTTTACCTATGTCTTTTCACTTTCTTTAATGTGGCTGCTAGAAAATTTAAAATGTCGTATGTAGTTAATATTATTGCCATCGACCAGTGCTAGTCATGAACAATGCTGGCACATACTAGGTGCTCAATAAATAGTTGAACGACTGAATATTTTTCTTTGAATGAGTGAGTGGCACAAAAGTGAAAGTATGTGAATAATAGTTTATCTCAAGTAGGCGACCTCCATAGGATAAAGCTGTCTGCTTTAGGTTAATAAACTAATTCTGGTTGAGGTGTTAATAGCTGATAACAGCTTAACTTGTTGGCATGAGTCAAGGTAAGATGTACATTTTAATTGCAACTCTCTAGAAGTCAGATAAAAGTAGGCTTTTTAATTCTACTGTGAGGTCTTCCAGAAGCAAGGTTCCTTTAGATTAAATTAAAAAAAAAAAAAAAAAGAAGAGGAGGGAGGGGACAAATGCTGAGAATGGGGATGGAACAGAGGATGGAGGGAGATGCGGAGAAACTTCAGAGCGGCAGGTGCCTTCGTTTCCCGTTACCTGCTGAGTCTAGTCCCTTCCAGGGCACACAGTGGGCGCTTAGTAACTGTAGAAAGAAGTCGAACGAAATCGGAAGGGGGAGAGGCAGAGGCCACAATCAAGACACGGAAACGACAGTCAGTCGAGGCAGCAGAGAGGGTTTCACGCGGGCCAGCGGAGGCGCAGGGCAGTTGAGAAGGGAACTTGCCACGGGGCGGAGGGGCCGCGCTCCCCACCAGCGCGGCGCGGGGGCGCTAGGCCAGGGACCGCCGGGCCAGGGACCGCCGGCTGCGAGCAGCGGGAACGGACCTGCCCCGGGTCGCAGCGGTTTTTCCCGGGCGGGGCTGAGGCTGCAGGGAGGCGGGCGTTCCGGCGGAGGGTCACGGCCTCGCCGCCGGGACTTTCCTGGGGTGGAGGTGTGAGCACGTAGGAGCCCTGGCCTTTCCAACTTCCCAGGTCAGACTGGGGCTGGGACCACCCTGCGCGGCCTTGGATGCAGGGAACCAACCCAGTGCTAGTCCGCCCTCGCGGGGACCTGTCCTCTCGCCTGACCTATGAAGTCCGTCCCTGCCTCCAAGGCTCCAACAAAGTCCTTCTTTCCCCCAGAGTAGCAGTTCTCAAACTTGAGTGCATCAGCATCACCCAGAGGCTGTATTCAAACACGTTGCTGGCTCCCTCCACGGTTTCTGATTCTGTGGGTTTAGGGTGGTGATGCTGATTCCTCTGGTCAAAGGACCATCCCTGGAGAGCCACTGCCCTTTAGGTAACGATTTTCCCCTCATTTTTCTTCTGAACTCGGTCAGCACCTTGTTCAGCCTCCCACTGAGCCTGGAACCCTTGACAGCTGGGGAAACAAGTGCGTTGCTGCTAAGCCAGGAGGGCACCTAGGAATCCCAGCTTCCAATCCAGGGCGTTTTCCTCTGCATTCACTGCTTCTTTTACTCTCTTGGGAGCCTATGTGTGGGATCCAGAACAGGGCAGAACCCTGAGTAGTAAACGCTGAACGGGAAGCGAGGTTAGTTAAATCCAACTGCAGGAGAGGAAAAAAGAGTCCTTTTCTTCCGGAGAGGAGAGGGTACACAGAGGATGCCTGTCCACTGACCAAACCTGCCCTGAGCATCACCATTGACGCTTTCGTTCATTCAAAAAACAAAGTTAATTCAGCAGGTGCTCTATGCCAGGCACTGACTTGGTATGGGGGATAATGAAGGAAATAAAACCGAGATCCCTGTCTTTGGAGAACATACTTCCTAATAGGGAGATTAACAGTAAACACAATAAAAGGTAAATCAATGAATATGTTAGAAGGTAGTAACAGTTACAAAAAGAAAAACAAGAGTAGGGTAAAGGAGTGCAATTGGAGTTGCAATTCTAAATAAGATGGGCAGGTAGGCCTTATTGATGAGGTGAGTTAAGATATTAAGCCATAGGATAGCTAGGGGAAGAGCGTTTCCAACAGGGGGAACAGCCAGCGCGAAGGTCCCGAGTCAGGAGCATGCCTGATGTGTTTGAGGCTCATCAAACGGGCCATTGTAACTGGAGTAGGGGCAGGGATGGGGAAGAAGCTGAGTAGGAGATGAGGCCAGAGAGGTAAAAGGGCGGGCAGGAAGATGTTAGAGGTCTGGCCCAGCCATTGTTAAAGGATTGACTTTTACCCTCCAATTTGATTTACTGTTTTGCCCTAATGATTCTTGCCTCGTCCATCTACAAAATCTGCCTCAAAAACAGCCGTTAACCATCCCCTGGCTCACAGCTGGAGCTTGTTTTGAGAATGATACTATTTTCATAAGTTGGTGGGCCCCAACCTCTCAGATTTGGGGCTTGCAAAGGTTGCAATGACCCTTTCTGACCTGCAGATTAGAGAGTTGGTAATTCATATTTGCTTTCAGCATTTTTTTTTAATTTTCTCTCATCATTCCCCATACCTCCTCTGGGTTCTTGTTCCCCTGACGTACCTGCTCCCTGAAGCTTCCCAGATTTCTAGAGCAGCACTGTCCAATCAAAATATGATGTGAGACACATAATTAATTTTAAATTTTCTAGTGGCCACATTTAAAAAAGTAAAAAGAAACAAGTAAATTTAATATTAATTACATATTTGGTTTAACCCAATATACCCAAAATATCATCTCAACGTGTAATCAACATAAAAAATTAACACACTATCATACATATTTTCTTCTATACTGTCTTGAAACCTAGTATGTATTTTACATTTATAGCCCACCTCAATTCAGCCTAGCCACATTTCAAATGTGTCATAGCCTCATGTAGCTAAGGATTACCTGGCCAGCACAGTCCTAGGATACTCATGTTCCTCCCCAACTCCCTCTCCTTAATATAATTTCTGCTTCCAGACTGAGCTGACACTTCCTTCAAGAAGCCTTCCTTGATTTCTCTACTTCCTTCGTATGCCTATGAGAATGAAATGAGTTAATATATGTACATTGCCTAGGATAGGTACTGGCACATAGTAAACAATGGAAGTGTAGCTATCATTATAATACCATTTACTACGGTTGTAATAAACTGATCAGTTGTGTAACTATTACTTCACATTTTTCTCTCCCTGTTATGCTCAATGGTCCACAAGGAGAAAGGACCCTGCCTGCCTGTCTTTTTCGTTGCTCTTTTCTTGGGACCTGGGTCTGGCACAAACAGATGAATATTCAATATAAATGTATTGAATGAATGAATGAATATAAGGAAGTATGCTTGGGGTTAAGCTTAAGCATTCTAATTCTAATGTTGCAATGGATTAAAATCATAATCCTGGATGACAATGGTATCAGATTCCATGTTTATAGAGGTTCAAACTAGATCCTAAAGAGAAATGAAATCTGGTCTCACAAAGGGAAAGAAAAAAAAAAAAGACAAAAACAGGATGGTGTGGCAGAAAGGGCCCAGACTTTGAATTCAGATACACCTGGGTCTGAAGGCCTGCCACCTCACCTACTATTTGTATGGCTTTGGAGATGTTACTCAACTTCTCCAAGTCTCAGTTTTCCCATCTGTAAAATGGGATCTGAGCATCTCGTTGCGTTATGTACCTACATGTACAGTAAGTTTGTAAGTGGCAACAACACAGGCCCTAATCTCGGCTCAGCCACACTCAGTGAGGCTACTTAAGCTTTCTGTACCTACTGTGTGTGTGTGTGTGTGTGTGTGTGCGCGTGTGTATTCTTTTAGTAGTTAATGAGATATGATACTTTACATGTAATATTTTCTTTAATTTTCATTCAACAGCATGTGATCTTTCTTTTTTTCACTCCACCTTTCCCCCATCAAATGAGGAAGGAAAGCTCAAGCAGTTTACTATTTTGGGAAAATTGTGCCATCGTGCTTAGTACATAGTGTGTATCAGACTTAAGAAAAGGACAAGAATGAAACTATTAAAAAAATTTCTCCAACTGGCAATTAAAAGACAATGGGAAAACTGCTTCTATGTTTAAGAAAAAATAATTTAACTCTTAATTTTATTGCCACTTATCTACTTTTGACCATATATTGAGGATTCCCCCCCACCTTCCACCACCAGTGGAACTGGGGAATAAAACAACAAAGATTGAAGATGTAATGGAGAAAAGAGTGGAAACAACCCAAGACAGTGATGAAGGGGAATCTCATGAAATCATCTGTGTTGCAAATCTAGAGAGGTATGATGTACCACAGTGGAGTAACTGGATGGATGGAATTCACCTAAAAGGAGATATTCAGGGAAAAACAAAACAAACAAAAAACAAAAACAAAAACAAAAAACGCTCAAACTATTACACTAGGTTATATATATACATATATATTTTTTTTCTTTTTCTCTTCCTATTTTCCTTTTCCATTTTACGTGTTTCAAATTTACAAATAAAAATTGTAGATATTAAAAAAAAAAAGAAAGAAAGGCCCTTGGGGAAAACTGTAAAACTTGCCACTTTAGTCTCCACACCCTTTCAGCCTTCTTCAGCCTTCTTCCAGAAAGCCCTCTCTTGTGCCATGTTGGTTCCTGGAATTTTCTTCTCTCTCTAGTTCTCATAGATGAAGTAGTTCCCAACCACAGTCTATGAATTTTGCTGCTTGTTGAAGAGGAATGCCAGACACCTAAAAAGGGTTGGCACTTGCAGCTCAGCAATCTCAAAGCTCTCCATAGAGTTAAAAGCACTCTGCTACAGGGCTTTTTCCATTACATCCTTAATGTCCATTAATGCATTTTCCCCACTAGACCCCTGAATGTTATGGGCAGATATAGCCCATGTCTATCTCTGGATCTGAGCCCTTAGCAATCAGCTGCACACACAGTAGGTGTGGCTAAACCTGTGCTAAATGCATATGTGAATGCATGATGCATAAGTGACTGTGATTGCTTCCCCACCAAAATGCACAGAAGACTGACAGATGTGTGCGGTGAGAAGCTAGAATGGGAGGAGGTTGGTTGCTTGTTTAAAAATGAAACTGAACAGGCTGAGAAGCTTACTCACGCATCTGCTTTCCTTCAGTGTCCTCTGGGGAGGAAGGGGAGGGAGAGGGGGAGTTGGGAGCCTAGGAGGGCTGACAAGGTGCCCTCTTCAGCACTGAGTCAGCAACACCCGGCCCTGTGGACACAGGATGATCCTGATTTCAGGGGCTGAGTCACATGAATAACTGGAATAGTTGTTTAGATCATAATGAATTCCCAGAACCTTTCCAAGCCAACCAGCAGGCACAGGCTCTCTCCCTACCCGCAGCACTTTCCAGCTTTGTGACTTAGCGGAAAGAAAGAGGCCGAGCCTGGATCCTGGGAGAGGACAGGCTGCAAGGGAGTAGGGCACAGGGATCCTCACCGCTTCCATTGCCAAGCACTGCAGGTTGTTTCTGGACCTTTTTGTGTTTCAAGGAAGATGCTGAAAGAGACTGGCATTGCAGGCATGAATCCTGCACAGAGTGCACAGCTGTTGTGTTGCCGGGCAAATGTATGGGCCAGGGCCCTGGCACCTTACAGTGAGTGGTTAGGGTGTCAGTGATACTAAATGCCCTGGGAGTCCAGGAAAATATCCTCTGTGAAATGTCATTAGAGGTCTGTGTACCTTGGATGAAACAAGATATCTAAACTCTAGCCCTAGAAGAAACTGTATATGAGAGGGGGACGGCTAGCCTCCAAGGGATTTGGGAATGATGCATGATTCTACAGGTTGCATCTTCTAAGCTGCAAGTCAAGAGCTCAGCATCTCCCAGAAATGCCTGTTCTGAGCTCCATGGAAGTCCTACGTGAGTGCCTTGTCCAAAATATTGGCTCAGTTCAAAGTTTATGTCTCAGTGTTTCCTTCCTGAGAGTATCCAAAGAAGATCTCAGCCTTCTGTGATTTTGCTCTCCCCTCCTTGATATCACATCCACTATGAATGTCTCACCCAGGCCAGTGAACAGACCCTATTGCCACATTATTCATGTTTATGTTTGCTCTAGGGCAGTGGTTATCAAGCTTGAGCACACATCAGAATCATCTGGAAGACTTATTAACACAGATTTCTGGGTCCCACTCCCAGAGTTTCTGATTTAGTAGGTCTGGGATAGGCCCTACATTCCCAATAATACCCAGGAGATGCTGATTCTGCTGGCTCCAGGATCACACTTTGAGAACCCCTGCTCTAAAGCAATGTTCACAAGTGTATTTTTAGATCAAAGACCCATTGGAGAATCTGTCGAAAAGCTTTTCTACCACTTCCCAGTAAATAATACACAAATGCTAAAAAATCATTAAAATTTCTTTACAATTTCAGGGTTCACTAGATTTGCAGAAATTCA
Organism: Homo sapiens; assembly: GCF_000001405.40. Classification (NCBI taxonomy): domain Eukaryota; kingdom Metazoa; phylum Chordata; class Mammalia; order Primates; family Hominidae; genus Homo; species Homo sapiens. The sequence goes on from NC_000001.11 coordinate 59,152,425, forward strand.
TCCATGAACTTCTGGGTTAAAAATGAAAACTTCTGATTCTGGCCCAAACCAGAATTAATAAGTGGGATGAAGATTCATAAGGTATAGGAAAGCAGATTTTAACATTAATCAGAGGAACTGATTGAGCAAAGTAAGCATTTGTTTTGTAAAACTAGACTACCTGGTTTCAAATCCTGGTTCTGCCATTTGCCAGCTGTGAGCTGTGCTGCAGTTTTTGCATATGTAGACTTGGAATGACAATAGAACCTACTTAGTTCGTACATGCAAAGTGCATAGAATAGAGTCTGGTGCATAGTATAAAAGCAATAATTGTTCCCAATTTCTTTAGCTTGATTGACTCCTATTGAGTCAACTTCCTGATATATTCCAGGACTTCTCTACATCATCCCAGCATCCAGAGATCTAGTTTAGGTACTATGTCTAGTCTACTATATGGCAATATCCTCCCAAGTGTTCCCTTTATTCTGATTTCTCCCCTTCTCAATGCGTCCTCCAGACAGGATCCAGAGTGACCCTTCTAAAACTCATCTGCTATAGTTTGGATGTCTGTCCCCAGAAACCTGTTAAAATATGATCCTCAATGTTGGGGGTCAATGTTGGAGGTGGGGCCTAATGGGAGGTGTTTGGGTCAGGGAGGTGGATAGCTCATGAATAAATTAATGCTCTCCAGCATGGAGAGAGGTGAATGAGTTTTGCTCTGTTACTACTGCTCTGAATTGGTTGTTTAAAAGAGTTTGCTCACTCCCCTCTGGCTTCCACTCTTGCAATTTGATCTCTGCACATGTAGGCTCCTTCTTGCCTTTCACCACGAATAGAAGCAGCCTGAGGCTTTCACCAGGTGTCCAGTCCTCCAGCCAGCAGAATCATAAACCAAATAAACCTTTTATTTATTTATTTATTTATTTATTTATTTATTTATTTATTTGAGACAGAGTCTCGCTCTGTCACCCAGGCTAGAGTGCAGTGGCATGATCTCGGCTAACTGCAAGCTCCACCTCCTGGGTTCACGCCATTCTCCTGCCTCAGCCTCCCGAGTAGCTGGGACTGCAGGCGCCTGCCACCACACCCGGCTAATTTTTTGTATTTTTAGTAGAGACGGGGTTTCATTTCACCGTGTTAGCCAGGATGGTCTCGATCTCCTGACCTCGTGATCCGCCTGCCTCGGCCTCCCAAAGTGCTTTTGTTTGTTGTTTAAGAAATTTCCCAGTCTCAGGTACTTCTTTATAGCAACACAAACGGACTAAAACACCATCTCATTTTGTTGTCCTTCTGCATGAATCCTTCCAAAGGTCTCCCATCACTTAGGAGAAAGTCTGGGCTCTTGAGGATGTTATATGAGGCCTGCCTTGACCTGGGCCCTGCCCCCACTCAAATAGCATTGTTCACTCTGCTCCTTTTTCTCCCTTCTGTTTCTTGTCTGGAAGTGCAGGATGGTTCTAGGTGCACTATGCTTGCCTTGTCTAACACATAAGTTTACTCTGCCCTAAATGTCCTTTAGCCCTCTTTAAGGCAGACTTCTACAGGATATTCTTCAAGGCCCAATCTGAGTGTTTTCTCTGCACTTTGTTTGAATCTCCAGATAGAAATGGTCTCTTCCTTCTTTGTGACCTACCATGCCTTACATAGTGTGCATAAGTTTGTGACAGACACTGTTAGATATTCCCCCAATATCCATTCTCATCTTCTACGCTATGAGTCCATTTTCCAGACTTCCTTGCAGATAAGGTTCTGGATGCAAATTAAGTTCCACCAACAGTTACACACATACAGGATATGAAGCAAAGCAAAGTTTCTTGCTGCTTCAGATATTTTCTATTGGTGAACAGAGTTGTGGAGACATGAATTTTTTTTTTGCATCATATTCTAGTAACAAATCGACAGTTTTACAGTCGTCAAGAGTTAGTTTTAATAGCAGCAGTAACAGCTTCCTATGCTGGATTGCTGATTCTTAGAATGCAAGTATGTGGTATGTTACAGATTCAAGAATCTAAAACTCAGTAGTTCAACAGTTTTGGGCTACTACATTCTCCCTTCCTGATGGAGCGCAGGTAGTAGCTGTCTCTGGAAGTCCTTGCTAGAGCCTACAATCCACTCTTCCAGCCCTTGGGATGATTTTATAAACATCTAATCCCCCTATTAAAATCCTTTCTGCTTGAAATACCTAGAATGGCTCCCATTTCTTTGGGAACTAGTAGTAGGCCAAGACTGTGACTCATTTATCTTGGTATTCTTAGTATTCAAAATTGTCAAGACAGGCTTCTGGGAAATGAACCCCTTATTCAAAATTGCCAAGAGAGGCTTCTGGGAAGTGAACCCCTTAAAGAAGTGGGCAGACTGGCCAGGCGCAGTGGCTCATGCCTGTAATCCCAGCACTTTGGGAGGCCGAGGCGGGCGGATCACAAGGTCAGGAGATCGAGACCATCCTGGCTAACACGGTGAAACCCCATCTCTACTAAAAAATACAAAAAATTAGCTGGGCGTGGTGGCGGGTGCCAATAGTCCCAGCTACTTGGGAGGCTGAGGCAGGAGAATGGCATGAACCCGGGAGGAGGAGCTTGCAGTGAGCTGAGATCGCGCCGCTGCACTCCAGCCTGGGCCACAGAAGGAGACTCCATCTCAAAAAAAAAAAAGAAGAAGAAGTGGGCAGACCACTAACCTAAGTTGGAGAAGGCTTGTCAGTGGACTCAGGGCACGTCATTTATCTTCATTCACCAAATTAAATTTGAGTACAGAGCTGCTCTCAGACCAACAAACCAGCAAACATACACACCACCAGCAAAACAACAAAAAATAGGAATTGAAGGAATGACTGGAACCAGCAGTGTCAGGTCTGAAACAGGAAGACTCAGACCCTGCTCCTCATGGTGGGAGCATGGTAAGGAGGTACTGTCCTCTACAAGGGCCCATGACCCTCAGGGGACCTGTCAAGAGTCCAGGAGAGGAGAGGGAAAACTCCACCTCCCCAAGGAGTAGCTCCAACCAGCTTATGAGTCTCTTCAGAAAAACTGTGAAGAATGGAGAAAACAAGTATGGGTGGGCCTAGCACTGCCTCAGGGTCTGACGCACACATAGCTGGAGACCAGAGAGGTTGCTAAAAAGCATGCAGGAAAAAATCCATGAGCTTTGGATATCAGACAGACTTGTGATGAAATCCTAGGTCTGTACAAATCACTTTGTTATCTGAGACAAATTCTCCAAACTCTGTGAGCCTCTATCCCCTCACTCATAAACTGAAGATTATAATCTTTATTCCAAAGGACTGTCATGAGGGTTGAAGGGGAAGATGTGTGAGACTAGGCCTAGCATAGAGAGGGCCTGGCACTTTCTCAGCCCTCAGCAAGTCCTCTTTCTTATCCTCACTCTCTGGATGTGCCTTAAACTCTGTCTGGTATTATTTCTAGTCTTCCCACTTTGCTCTATAAAATATTAATTTACTGCAAGGCACAGTGGCACATGCCTGTAGTCCCAGCCACTTGGGAGGCTGAGGTGGGAGGATCACTTAAGCCTAGGAGTTCCAGGCTGCACTGAGCTATGATTGCACCACTGCACTCCAGTCTGGGTGACAAAGCAAGACCCTGTCTCAAAAATTTTTAATTTAATATTTTGTTTTGTTTTTTCATTATTTTGTCTGAAGGTAAGGCACTGAAGTTTCTGTGAAGGGTAATTTCTCAATCCATTCATTTGTCTGAAAAGGTTTGGGGCAGGAAGTAAGATTCCCGGAAGTTTTTAAGCACAGAGAGGATGGGAGGTAGAAGGGAGCTGTTCCAGGAAGATTGCTCCTGCCAGCTGGAGAGAGAGTGCATAAGTTGTCCTCGCAGTCTCTGTGTATTCATGTAGTCTATGCTCATCAGCAGGGCTATTAGCATTTGAGTCTAAGCCAGTCTTTCTGTGGCATCTTGCAGGACTCTGGGTTTAATGCAACTTCTCCTGCCATTGTGCCCTTTGTAATCTATGCCTTTTTTGTGTGAATTTCTCCACGAAAGGAACTAGATTTCCACTTAGTGAGAGAAATGGCTGTCTCAGATATCTCACTGACCTTTTCAATACAATATTTCCTCAGAGTAGAGAATACCAAAATTCTACGGAAAAGGCCCAAGCCCCAAAACACTAGGAGGACAATGCGTTTTTTTTGTTGTTGTTTTAAATGAGACTATGATATTCAAGGACCCCTTGGACCCTTCTACAAAGCCAGCTGTTGGGCTCGTCCAGGATGGGTGGGACTCAGGGAATGAGCCTCACAGGAATTAAAGGCATGAAGAAGTAGCCCCTGGGAGGATTGTAGTGATGACACATATAAAACCTCAGGGACATCAACCACAGAGCAACATCAAGAGATGGCCCCAATACCTGTTTGAGGCTGGAAATCAGAATGAGGAAGAAAACCACCATGACAGGGCATCCATTACATGCACAGCATTGTATGGCAGGGGCTATTGTAGCTCATGCAGACTGGGCATGAAACAGTTAAGCTGTCAAATCCTGAACTTCTGCAGCCACCGGGAATATTTGATGTTACTGCACAGGAAGCATAACCTAGAGTGAATAATTCCCGCACAGCAGGGGAGCCTTTTTTCAGGTTGAACCCCGTCTGGAAGCTGCTCTTTTCTTGTCAGAGAGCCAGGGGCAATAGCTATTGCCCGAGTCTCCCAACCCTGCCCTTCCCCCACCAAGAACACAGCAAAGGCAGCTCAGCTCCCATGGAAACTCACGGGCAAGAGTAGAGATCCAGAGAGCTACTACTAAGCTTTTTGCACAATGGAGGGAAACAAACCTTCTTGTTAGCTGTTGATGACCATCTGTATCTTAAGCCCCTGCGGACAGAGAGACTGGGAATTCTCTACCATTGCTTTAAAAAACAACACACATTTTTTAATGACCATTTTGGTTTTGTTTTTGTTTTCTGTCTGAGCAAGATATAAACAAGGAGGGACTCAGAAAGGGATGAGGGCAGTGGGAAAAAACAGGATGTCCAAAGAAGAGGAGCCTCAGATCAGAGGGTTCCTGAATCCCTGGTGAGAGACTGGTACCACAGCAGGTAGTATTGGGGTATGGTATTATTGGGGTGTGTCAGGTGTGTTTGTGTATAATAAACCTCTTTCAAAAAGTGTATTTAAGGCTGGGCATGGTGGCTAATGCCTGTAATCCCAGCACTTTGGGAGACCGAGGCAGGCGGATCACTTGAGGTCAGGAGTTCAAGATCAGCCTGGACAACACGGTGAAACCCTGTCTCTACTAAAAATACAAAAATTAGCCAGGCATGCTAATTTTTAATTAATTAATTTTTAATAGGTGGCACACTCCTGTAGTCCCAGCTACTGGGGAGGCTGAGGCAGGAGAATCGCTTGAACCTGGGAGGCAGAGGTTGTGATCTTGGCAGTGAGCCAAGATCATGCCATTGCACTGCAGCCTGGGTGACAAGAGCAAAACTCCATCTCAAAAAAAAAAAAAAAAAAAAAAAGAAAAAGAAAAAAAAAGAAAAGTGTATATATTGTATGTACAAAAGGGAAGAAGAGAGAAAATAGGAAATAATAAGCACGATGCCACTCTAGATATTTTACATGATTAACTGGCATTGAAGGGATTCTAATCATTCTTACATTTGTTAAAGAAGAGTGTTTCACTTATTTTTTATAGAAATACTAGGAGGTGGGTTCACTAGGTCCACTTTACAGACAAGTTACCTTAAAGCTTAGGAACATTAACTGAGTTGCTCAAGGAGACATAATTTATCAAGTAGTGGAGCTAGAATTCATGTCCAGATATACCTGATCATTTCCAAACTTGTGCCCTGTCTACTAAACCACGTGTACCTCCTTCATATGTGTTCTAATTTGTAGAATATCCTCTTTGAGAAAAGGAAGCAAATTCCAAAGGGAAGAGCTAGAACCAATAATAATAATAAAATGAAACTACCAAATGTAGATAAAAGGGACAAAATATTTGAAGAAGCAAAGAAGAAATGTAGATGGCAAACAAGCACTGAAAGGATGTCCAACATCATTATTCATTAGAAAAACACCAGTTAAAATCACAATGAAATACCTCTGCACACTTGCTAAAATGGCTAACATTAGAAAGACTAATTATATCAAGTGTTGGTGAGGATACAGAGCAACTGGAACTCTCAAACACTGCTGGTGAAAATGTAAAATAAAACAACCACTTTGGCAAACCATTAAGCTGTCTCTTAAGAAGTTAAACATACACCTACCATGCAACCCAGACATTGCATTGTTAGATATTTATTTAAAGTACATATTTACATAAAGACTTGGACATAAGTATTCACAGCAATTATAATTGTGCTGTGATGTATACCACCATACATAGGAACAGCCATATAATGAAATAATAGTTACATATAAAAACAAATTATTGATCATAGATGGATCTCAAAATAATTATGCTGAGTGGAAGAAGACAGAAAATAAAGAATATATACTGTATGCTATCAATTACATAAAATTCTCAAAAATGCAAATTGATCTATAGTGACAGAAAGGAGATCAGTGATCACTTAGGGATTGGAGTGAAAAGGGAAAGGGATAGATTACAGCAACATGAGAAAAGTGTGGGTGGGGAGTAATGGATATGTTCCTTCTTATCTGAAGTGCAGTGATGTTTTCATGGATGTAAACATATGTCAAAACTCATCAATTTGAACTGGCTGTTGTATGTAAGTTGCACCTCAAAATATTGGTGGAAGTAGGCTGCCAAGAAGATGCAGTAGTAGGAGATAGGAGGGGGAAAAAAGCAAAATCCTGTAAGGTAAGTTACCTAAAAAGAAATACAGTATAGTAGGTAAGAACCCAAACCATAGATTCTCAGTTCAACTTTAAGCAAGGCACTTAACTGCCTATTTAAAATGCAGATAGTAATAGAACCTACTTCATCGGATAGTTGGGACAATTAAATGACTCATGAACACAAAGCTTTAGACCAGCGCCTGGCATATAGTAAGGAATTAATACATATTAGCTATTATTATTGTCACACAAATTACTTCATTTCATCCAAAGTCAATAGTTTCCCAATAGGAGAAAACTTAAATCCCCATCCAGCTGCCGACTCCAGATGCCAGTGATTTTCAAGCCAAGTTGTCTGGTGAATGCTGATTCTTCCTCTTTAACATAGCTCACTGAGACTTCTTGAAATTTTGCAGCCTACATAATAAATAATGCACCCAATAATAACTACCCAATATATTAATTATCCAAAGGTCATGAAAATAAAGGATATGAAGACTCTCTTAATGAGGGCCGGGGAAGCAACATGATACTGAGTCACCACGACAGAGTGTCCTCTGGATTCTGTTGGATCACTCACTCTCATTGATATCTGTTTGTTCCTTGACCAGTCATTCAGGCCACCCTGGGTTCTACCCCCCTGGGAAAACTTCCTTTGGCCAGTGCAATCAGTGCCCAAACCAAGAGGAAAATTGAGGAGGATTTCATTATAGAAGACTATACCACCTGAGTAATTCATTTCTATTTGGATCATGAATGTGGACTAAGGGCAGCTTTAATGTTTGAACAAACAACCACAGGTCTCTGTTTACCAAGCTTGAACATTTCTTGCAGTACAATTGTTTTAAGTCCTTTGTCATCCATACCTATTGATTGCATGGGGAGGGCACAGAAGACACATGGACTGTTTGCTGGCAGCCAATACCAGAAAAATTAGCAAAGTTTCATTTCTGAATTTGGATCTTACTTTTGTAGCGTCAGTTTCTCAGCATCAAATCTGAGGACTCTGTACATCTCTCTAACTCTTAGCTTATTGGCCTCTGCCTCTAAGTTTGAAGAACAAAAGGCTGGAGTAGTGGGGCAAAGCTAATATTTCCTACCATGTGGCTGCTGTCTCCATTTCACTATTCATCTAAATGTGCATTTTCAACTTTTCCAGACACAAGGATACAAGAGCAGAGTGCTGAAGCAATTTTGGAGCATCAGGTCTCCTTGATTCTTCCGAATCCTCCCAGACATCCAATATCCTAATCGATGCACTAACAAATATTGAGGCTGTATTCTTAAGGCACTTGCTTATCTGATTCTATAGTTCAAATTGCCAACTACAGACAGAAACAAATTAATTCTTTAAACAAAGCTGTAAACCTACCCAGCTATTCTCTATCTGCTATCAAATGAGCCAAAATCAATAACTTATTAGAAGTAGGAAATATTTTGACATTTTCTATCAGGTCACCTAATGTTCCTATTTTATGAATAATGCTCTGAGTTCACAAAATGCTGAGTTTAGCAGACAACTGACAATTCTTTAACCAACTGATTTTCATACCACCTAACAAAGATGGCAAATATCCCAATTCCATATGGCAGCATCCTAACAACTCCCTATGGGGGGCTGTCAGTGGGAACGTTCCACTTCCAGCACCCATTTCTCTACTAGTCAAAACTCCTTTGATGGGAAGTGACAAACACCCATCTGAAATAAGCTTAGGTAAAGGGATGACTTATTAGAAGGATATAGGAGACCATATATACCTGAAGGGGGAAAGCATAAGACCTCTGAGGGCAGTGACTCCCAGCTTAGTCCATTGCTCCATGCTTGATGTCTGGAATCCAGCCTGTTCAATGTTAAATGAATGAGTGACCAAACTGCAGTAAAGGCAGGGTTGCCACTTAGCCTTGATAATAGCCAAAACTAGCACTGAATGCCTCAAGAAGACAGAGGAGATAAGACTTTATGATAGATACCTTCTGGGTTGTCTCCCCAGCCCCTCTATTCTCAGAACTCCCCTGCTTCATCATATACATGATGTATGGGGATCAGACCTAAGAAGCCAAGTTCATACTCTGTGATCCTTCTGTGATCTGCACAGAGCTGGTTGTTACACCAGTGGGCACAAGATCCAAGTGTGGCCAATCACATCTGCTCTTGTAGAAATTTGTATTGGCTTAAGATTCAGTCTCTTCCCTGGTGGTTAAATTTGTTACATATAAATATAGATGATGACAAAGTCTATTTTTCAAAGACTTTGAAAAAAAGTCTGTTTTTTCAAAGATAGAGAAGTATGAAGCACACAGAACAGCAAACATTGGAGAGAAACAGATTGCCAAATGCATTTGAGATCTTGGTTTTAGGCCACTGCAAGGCTCAGCTAAATTCCTGTATTTATAATAAGGGTGTCATGAGACACCCCTTATTCCTATAACAGTTTCCTCTCATTCTTACAAGTTAGCTTCAGTTCTTTTCTGATACTTTCAACCAACAAATACCTCCCACTAATAAAAATATGAACACTAAGAATTCTGGAAGTAATAAGATCTGCCTGTTGTCTTAGGCTAAGACTAAGATAGTCTTAGCTTGACTGCCACTGGAACAAAATAGTTTAGACTGGGCAATTTATAAACAACAGAAATTTATTGCTCAGAGTTCTAGAGGACGGGAACTCCAAGATCAAGGTACCCGTCAGTTTGGTGTCTGGTGGGATCCCATTTCCTGGTTCATAGATGGCACCTTCTATGTGTTGTGACATGGCGGAAGGGGTGAGGAAGCCACTTCAGGCCTCTTTTATAAGAGCACTAATCCCTTTCATGAGGGCAGAGCCCTCATGACCTAATTAAGAGGCCCTACCTCTTACTGCCATCACCATAGGGGTTAGGTTTTAACATATGGATTTTGGGGGGACACAAACATTCAGACCATAGCACCTGTTCATTAGAAAATGGACAATAAATGCCACAGTCTTTACTGCACTCTCACTCCAGAGAAGTACAGCATATTAGAAGTGGTTTTGGCTACAGATAACAGAATGTCAACTAATAAAATCTTAAGAAACAGAGAATTTAAGTATTGAATTTAGGAGTGGGGAGGCAGAGAGCTCCCAGATTTGATGCTAGCCCCAACAGAATTCCCAAGTATCCAGCCACCCTCAACTTACTGGTTTTCTATTTTTGTGCCTCTGGTCCTAGAGGGCCACCACAGATCTGGGCATCCTGATCAACATTCAGTGGCAAGCCTGGAGGGGCAATGCTTGCCTCCCATTGTATGGCAGGCCAGATATGTTCCTGGCCCATCAGAAGCCTCCTTCTGGATGCAGTCTATAAGCCACTGTGATGGATGAGAAGAGCCCAGGATGGAGGTGAAAGTCTGGAACTGGAATCTGAGCCCTTATTTTTCTGACTCACTGTTTTACCTTGGAAGAATCACTGAAGTTTTCTGCATCTCTGTTTCCTCATATGTTTAAAAAAGAAAGCACTTAACCTTGGTGGATGTGAAAAATAAATGAAATAATTTCTAGAAATGTGCCTAGTTCAATACATTGAAACCCACCTACATTAAAACCTTTCTCAAAGTCGTTTGAGCCTTTTCTTCTTTCTTCCTTTCTACATCCTAGTTCAAGGCCAGTTCAATAAAATCATGGGCTTTATAGTCAGGCAGATTTCAAGTCCTGGCTCTAACATTTATTAGCTATCTGACTTATTCAAAAATACTTACTGGGCACCTACTACATGCCAGGCACTGTTCTGCCTGCTAAGGATACAGAAAAGAAAAAAAAAAAAGAAGGACACAGTTCTTGCTCTTTACAGCTTAAATTCTAGTTTGTTCATTTTAAAATAAGGATAAAATCACTTACATTCTATTGTTGCTATAATGATTAAATAACAACATTTATGAGGAAGATTTATGAATAATAAATGCTCCCCAGTAAATGCTAATTCTCTTCCCTCCTTCTCTTTTCTAAACTTTGAAGGATGCTGGGAAAAGTATTAGGTTGGATGTTAGGAACCTGGCATTCTAACCCTAGCCCTGCCATTAACTAGCTGTGTGATCTCAGGCAAATGTCTGAGCCTTTCTGGATCACAATCATTTCCTCCATAAAAGAATAATGTTGTACTAAATAATTTGTAAGAGACCATTTGTTAGGATGGGATTCGGTACTTCTCAAAATTAGTCATTAATCTTGATACACTGTGGAAGAGTAGGTATATTAGACTGTGTTGTGATTCAAAAATAAATTTATAGCTAGCATTCTTCAAGGGCTTACTAGGTCCAAGCTGTCCAAATCCTTAAAGCTTTTTGCTTTAATCCCACAACAACTTCATGGGGCAGGCATTCCTACCTTCATTTTATATGAGCAAACTAAACCTCAGAGAAGTGAATTTGGCAAAGTCACCCAGCAAGTCAGAGGCAAAAGTGGTATTGACACCGATGTCTGACTCAAAAAGCCATTCTCTCTGCCCTCCACTGTTACTGGATAGTTGTCAGAGCTTGTCCTAAGACCAATCGAACATACTTAGTGGCTCCATAAATTAATCAGTATGTCATGTGGGCAAAGAGTGACTCCTGCATGGTTCATCCACGGGAGACACAGAACATAAGCCTGGCTCCATTCTGTTCTCCGGCTCCTATTCTTGGCTTCCCCACAGCTGCCTCTCCCTACAGCCATTTCTGTGGATGAGTCCACATGATTGATGGGAAACCAAACATTATTGTTCAGGAATGATGTTTTTTCAAATTGGACAGCTGCTGCTTGTTTGGCTGGGAGTTTGGCAAGTGTTTAAGTATTTCACTTTGTCATGGTGGTCAGACCTAGAGGAAATAATTAGGTGGTCATGGCAACCAGCATCCCAGGCACACCACAGTGACGCCCAGGAGGAAGCATTGAATGGAGAGTCCAGACATTGACTCTGCCCTGAGTACTCTGGCCTCAGGTTCCTCAGCAGGGCTGCCCCTTTAGGTCTAAAATCTCTCAATAGGAGAATGAAATACCTAATTCTATCCTGAAAGATATAGGTCTTAAGGGACATGAAGACCAAAACTCACACTAAGCTGTTAAAGACTAAGGAGTGGGGACAGAAAAAAAATCTCAAGTGAAACATCTGCTATGTGCCTGGAGCTGTGCTGCGTGCTTTATACTATTGTCTCAGTTAATCCTCACAACATTCTCCTTTGAACAGAGGAAGAAACTGAGGCTCGGAGAGGTGAAATGACTTGCCTACGATCACATAGCTAGATAGTAAAGGAATTAGGATGTGAACATTGGTCTAGCTGATCCTGAAGCCTTGCTACAACACCTACACTAAGTGCCATTAGGACCTTTCCCAGAAGCACCTGCTGCTTGAGGTATAGAAAGGGGCTGGGTGGAAGACACTAAAGTGTCCAAAAGGTGATGTCATTATTTGATGTCCCCTCCTCTACACTGCCCTCCTTGGTGGGAATCTGGCTTCTGGTGTAGCTCCTAAATCATTCTTGCGTAGGCTATACCTCTCTTCTTCACCTCAGTTATTTCAAACCCACGGTCTCTCTACAGTATTTCTGAAGTGTCCTAGGCAGTACATTGAAATTGGGTCTGAGCCCAACTCTTTCTTTGCCTTATTGGAAAGATGACAGAATCTGCCTGATGTTCTCCAATTCCTGGATTATATATCTTACCTCTGACTCAGAAGATGAATTGATTGTTACCTTATAGATCTTTGAAAATTACTGTGCCTCATGGGCAGGTTCAGAAAAATCCCAATCATCAGTGATTTTTCTCCCTTTTCTGAATTCCTGCAATTTATTTAGAGTCTCATAAGATTATCCTTTACGGGGTGAGGGCAGCTCATCTGCCACTTCATGCCCAGTAAGCTCTACACCCCCAAACATCTGAGGTTCCCTAATAGAGGAATCAGAGCACCTGCCCTTGACTCCCGTTTCCACCACTAACTCATGGTATTACCTTTGAAAAGCCAATGGACATGTGTGAAATAAAATTCTGTCAAACTACTGAAGATGTCTTTCAATTCTAATATTTGGTAATTCAAGTCTTCCTTCTAGTAAGCAAAATTTCAAATTCTATTTGAAAATTAAGATTATTCAACCCATTCCTCACTTCAGAATGAAGAGTATCACCTCTGAGATTGATACAAATTCACAGACTTTTGCCCCAAGGTTTTGATTTTTCTAGCTCACATTTTTTTCTCTGTGTTCTGCAGAGGTAATTTACAGATTTCTAGAGAGCTGTCTTTCTGCCTCCTGATGAATAGGATACTAGATGAAGGGCAAATAAAAATGGTGATGATGCCAGTGAAGAAAGTAAACGAGTTAAATGATACCTTTAAGGAACTGAAGACAAGGGTTGCCTGAGTCATGCTGCCCTTGCTATTACTATATTTCACTGTGTTTTGGCTGCATTGGATGACGGTGTCATAGGAAGGGCATAGCCTTTGGATCTAGCTCTGTCTCTTCAGTAGCTGCATAATCTTAGACAAGTTACCCAGCACTTCCAAGCCTCAGTATCCTTTTCTGTTAAATGTGAACACTGGTATCTTGATGGTTGTTGTGAGGATCAGGGATTAGATAAATACAGTGCAAAAGCATTGAATCTTAAGAGATATCTACTGATGTATTTACAGGTGAATTGACATGATGTTTGGGATTTGCTTCAAAGTAATTGGTGGAGATAGACAATTGATTTTCCTTCTGTTTTGTTTTGTTTTTTTAATTTAACTTCTTTTTTAACTTCAGAGGTACATGTACAGATGTGTTACACAGAAACGTGTGTCATGGGGGTTTGTTGTACAGATTATTTCATCACCCAGGTATTAAACTAGTTATTTCTCCTGATCCTTTCCTTCCTCCCACCCTCTACCCTCCGATAGGCTCTAGTGTATATTGTTCCCCTCTATGTGTCCATGTGTTCTTATCTTTAGCTCCACTTATAAGTGAGAACATGTAGCATTTGGTTTTCTGTTCAAATTTTAATTTGCTAAGGATAATGGCCTCCAGCTCCATCCATGTTCCTGCAAAGGACATGATCTCATTCTTTTTTATGGCTGCATAGTATTCCATGGTGTATATGTACTACATTTTCTTTATCCAATCTGTCATTGATGGTCATTTAGGTTGATTCCATGTATTTGCTATTGTGAATAGTGCTGCAATGAACATACGAATGCATGTTTCTTTAAAATAAAAAATGTATATTCCTTGGGGCGTATACCCAGTAATGGGATTGCTGGGTCCAATGGTATTTCTGTTTTCAGGTTTTTGAGGAATTGCCACACTGTCTTTCACAATGGTAGAACTAATTGACACTCCCACCAACAGTGTATAAGCATTCCTTTTTCTCTGCAACTTGCCAGCATCTGTTATTTTTTGACTTTTAAGTAAAAGCCATTCTGATTGGTGTGAGGTGATATCTCACTGTGGTTTGGATTTGCATTTCTCTAATGATCAGTGATGTTGAGCATTTTTTCATATGATTGTTGCCTGTGTGTGTGTCTTCTTTTGAAAAGCGTCTGTTCATGTCCTTTGCTCACTTTTTAATGAAGTTGTTTGGGTTTTTTCTTGTAAATTTTTTTAAGTTCCTTATAGATGCTGGGTGATTAGACCTTTGTCAGATACATAGTTTGAAAAAGTTTTTTCCCATTCTGTAGGTTGTCTGCTCATTCTGTTAATAGTTTCTTTTGTTGTGCAGAAGCTCTTTAGTTTAATTAGATCCCATTTTTCATTTTTTGCTTTTGAACACAATCCCATTCACAATTGCCACAAAAAGAATAAAATACCTAGGAATACAGCTAACCAAGGAGGTGAAAGATCTCTACAAGGAGAACTACAAAACACTGCTCAAAGAAATCAGAGATGAAATAAACAAATGGAAAATCATTCCATGTTCATGGATAGGAAGAATCAATATCGTTAAAATGGCCATGCTGCCCAAAGCAATTTATAGATTCAATATTATCCCTATTGAACTACTATTGGCATTCTTCACACAACAAAAAAAAGCCTATTTTAAAATTCATATGGAACCAAAAAAGAGCTTGAATAGCCAGGGCAATTCTAAGCAAAAATAACAAATCTGGAGGCATCACACTACCTAACTTCAAACTATGCTACAGGGCCACAGTAACCAAAACAGCATGGCACTAGTACAGTAACAGACACATAGACCAATGGAACTGAATAGAGAATCCAGAAGTAAGGCTGCACACCTGCAACTATCTGATCTTCAACTAACCTGACAAAAACAAGCAATGGGGAAAGGATTCCCTGTTCAGTAAATGGTACTGGGATAACTGGCTAGCCATATGCAGAATATTAAAACTGGATCCCTTCCTTACACCATATACAAAAATTAACTCAAGATGAATTACAAACTTAAATGTAAAACCCAAATCTATTAAACCTCTGGAAAAAAAAAACCTAGGCAATACCATTCTGGACATAGGAACAGGAAAAGATTTCATGAGGAAGATGCCAAAAGGAATTGCAGCAAAAGTCAATTGAGTTTTCAATAAGAGAGTCAAGAAAATTCAATCATTTAAAATAATATTCTTTTCAACAGATGGTGCTGGGACAACCGGATGTGCCCATTCAAAAGAATGAGGTGGGACCCTTACCTCATACCATGTACAAAAATTAACTCAAAATTCATCAAGAACTAAATGTAAGAGCTAAAACTATAAAACTTTTCTTAAAAATCAAAGGCATAAATATTTGTGATTTTGTATTAGGCAAGTATGTGTTAGATATGACACTACAAATACGAGCAACAAAAGAAAAAACAGATAACTTGGAATTCTTCAGAATTAAAAACTTTTGTGCTTCAAAGAACACCATCAAGAAAGAGAAAAGACAACCCATAGAATTGAGAAAATATTTACAAGTTATGTATCTGATAAGGGACTTGTATCTGGAATATATAAAGAACTTATACATCTCAATAATAAGACAACCAATATAAAAAATGTGCAAATTATCTAAATAAATATTTCTGCCAAAAATATATACAAATGGCCAATAAGCATAACACAAGATGCTCAGCATCCTTAGCTACCAGGGAAATGCAAACAAAAATCACAAGGTGATGCCACTTCACAACCACTAGGATAGCTATAATTAAAAATACAGATAATAACAAGTTTTGGAGAGAATGCAGAGAAACCAGAACACATATACACTGCTAGTTGGAATGTAAAATGGTGCAACCACTGTGGAAACCAGTCTAGTAGTTCCTCAAAAGATTAAACAGATATACTATATAGTGCAGAAAATTCTCTCCTAGGTATATACCCAAGATAAACGAAATATACCCACTTGTATATGAATGTTCATAGCAGCCTTCATCATAGCCAAAAAGTGCAAACAACCCAAATGTTCATCAACTGATAAATGGACAAATAAAATGTAGATTATCTGTACAATGGAGTATTATTCAGCAATAAAAAAATGAAGTAGATATATGCTACAACTTCAAAAACATTATGCTAATTGAAAGAAGCTAGTCATATATGCACATGTATGTTTATTGCAGCACTATTTACAATAGCAAAGACTTGAAACCAACCCAAATGACCATCAATGATAGACTGGATAAAGAAAATGTGGCACATATACATCATGGAATACTATGCAGTCATAAAAAAGAAGGAGTTCATTTCCTTTGCAGGGACATGGAGGAAGCTAGAAACCATCATCCTCAGCAAACTAACAAAGGAACAGAAAACCGAACATTACATGTTCTCACTCATTAAGTGGGAGTTGAACAATGGGAACACATGGACACAGGGAGAGGAACATCACACACTGGGGCCTGTTAGGGGGTGAGGGGAAAGGGGAGGGAGAGCATCAGGACAAATACCTAATGCATGCAGGGCTTAAAACCTAGGTGATAGGTTGATAGATGCAGCAAACTACCATGGCCCATGTACACCTATGTAACAAATCTGCACATTCATCACATGTATCCCAGAACTTAAAGTAAAATTAAAAAAAAAAAGAAAGAAGCCAGTCATAAAAGACCACATATTATATGATTCTATTTATGTAAAATGTCCATAATGAGCAAATCTATAGAAACAAAATAGCTTACTGGTTGCTTAATACTAGGGGGAGGGAACTGTCATGGGGGTAATAGAGGATACAGGATTTCTTCTGGGGAAAATGTATGCTCTAAAATTACAGTGATGGTTGCACAACTCTGTGAATACACTAAACACCATTGAATTGTACATTTTAAATAAATAAATTGTATATTATGTGAATTATGTCTCAGAAAGGCTGTTCTTAAAATAACCTGGGTAAGGGTGAGACAGGGGAGTGTAGGTGAGCAAATAAAGGAAACAAGATTGACTAGGATTTCACCATGCTGAAGCTTGTTAATAGTAAATGCAGGTTCATGATACCATTCTCTCTACTTCTGTGCATGTTTGAAATTGCCTGTAATAAAAATAAATATAAATAAAAAACAGAAGACCATATTAGACTATCAATAAATGGCACTGTTATTGTTACATCACAGAGCCAAGCACCAAATTTAAGAACTCAGGCACATACCCCTGAATAACCTATCATACAATTCCCAGTTTTCCTTTAACTTGCCTAAAGTCTCTTTGCAGGATTTGGCACTTTTCTTTCCATCCTGGCTCCAGAGGGACAGAGAACAACTGGTCATAGACATAGAAATAGTTCAGAAACCTGACTCAGCCCCTTCTTTATCTCTCTGTGGCCAGTCAGCCACCCACTCTTGCCAATTTTCCTTCCAAAAGACCGTTATGTTTACCCATCCTTCATACCCACTGCCACTTCTAAACCAAGCCCTTTGCAAATTCCACCAAGGTCACAGCAACAGCTGGTCTTCTCCACAGCCTCACATAGACTCCCAGTCCCACATCCAGTGCCCACCTCTCCTGCATACCACCAGCAGACTCTTTGCATGTGTGCCTGTATGTGTTCCTCTCCCCTACTCAAACATTTACAGGCTCTGTATTTCTTATGGGTTTCCATCATCTGATCTCATCCTATGAATCCAAACATTTTTCACCATTTCATAATTTGTACCCATTGCTCTGACTAGCAGTTCCACCCTCTGTGTTAATTCAAGTAACCACGTGCTTCAGGTAAGGTGAATCTTGTTTAGTCTTACTGAACTATGTTATTCCATTTTTCTTCCCAATGATTGGTTTGGGAATGAGCGTTGGATGGAATTCTGGAGAGTAATGCATGAGAGGGGGAAACTCTTCTCTCTGGACAGTAATGCATGAGTTGGGGAAAACCACTTCTTAGGAAAAAAAAATATTGCTCCTAAGAAAATATGGAAGAAGAGACAGAGCCTTTCCCCCTGCCCCCCACCTTCAGACCTTTTGGCATTGAGGAACAAAATACGATGCGTGGAACTGCTGCAGTCCTCCTGTGACCATGAAGACAAAGCCAAGAGAATGAGAGTGATGTTGTTGATCTGGAGTCACAAGTCACTGAACTGCTGAATTAAACCAGTCCTGGAACTGAGCTACCTCTGCCCATCTTGCTAAATGAAATAATAGCTGTCTTTATTATACAAGGCAATTTTACTTCAAATTCTAAAACTTCTGTGAGCCCTCACATTCCATAGTCCTGTAACTTTGGTTTAGGAGTCAGTCAGGCTCTGATTTCCAAGCCTCACTCTGCCCCTCATTAGCGCTGTGAACTTGGCAAATTACTCACCTTTAATAGTCCAGAGCGTCTCAAACTTTGGCTTGCATCAGAGTCACCAGGGGGGCTTATTATAACATAGATTTCTGAACACCACCCCTAGAGATTCTTATTCAATAAGTTTGTGGTGGAGCGGGAGAATTTGCTTTCTGACAAATTCCCAGGCAATACTGTTGCTCAGAGGACCACACTTTGAGTAACATTGTCCTGCACTTAAGTTTCCCCATCCATAACATGAACGTGAGAGGTATTCTGTAGCAGGTTTTATGAGGATCAAATGTGATAAAACAGGTACAGTGCTTGGCACAGTGTCTGTCACAGAATTATGGCTCAGAGATGGTAGCTATTATTATTAACTTGGGAAAATGTTCATCTTGAAGTTGAGGGCTTGGTTTCTGCAAATTCTAGGTACAGACTCATTTTTCTGGTGTTCTGGGGCCCTGTGTAGCAGCCTTTCCCAGACAAAAGAGCCAAAAGAAACCTGTTGACTGGGAATATTAACTAGGTGGCTGTGGGAGAATGACATGAGTGATTTGCTGGGATTATTGAAAATCATCCGAAATACTGCTGGTTGAGAAGCAGACGGGAGGAAAAATGGCCTTCACTTATCAGCCCTCCATTAAAATGTTTTGTAGTGTGTCTCAGCATTATCCAAATGATTAAAGAGGTGAGACCTTGAAAGGGGGTGGGGGTGGGAACAAGACTGGCCAGCTTTAAAAATGAGGAGGCAATAAAAGATTAGTTATTAAATAAATGAAGTTCAGGAAATGATCCAATGTCTTGGGAGTGTTCAATCACAGGAGATGGGAGGCTTCTAACCTTGTAGAGTCAAAGAAAATTCACAGAGAAGCACATTACCTGGGGCATGCCGTTCTGTTGTAGTTTCTCAGGATAAGGACAAATATAAAAGTCTGAGAAACACGAACTTTATCATTTTTTATGAATTCTTCTTTTCTCTAAAACGCCTGATATATCTTACCTTTAAAAAAATTTCCCAGCAGTAATGTTTCTATTGCTGTAGTCATTGATATCTGTCATAAACACAGCCACTTACGGAGTCCTTAATGCATGCGAGGCACTATGCTAAGCATTTAACTACATTATTTCATTTAATCCCCTTAACAATTCTATGACACAGGCTCATCTTCATGCCTTTCACAGATGAGTAAACAGCTTCAGAAATGTGAAATGATTTGAGTCATATGGCTAGTAAAAGTGACTTTAAGCTGGACCCAAATGGTACTTTAACCTTTCAAATTATTTGTATCTGTATTTTCTCAAGTTATTCTCCCCAGGAAGTCAGGTAGGTATTTAACAGTCCCGTTTTACAGATAGGGATCAAAATATTTAGAGCATTTAAATGACATCTCCAAATATAACTATGGATTTGAAGTTGTGAAATCAGAATTAGAACTCAGGGTACTCTCTCTACTATATCATACTGCCTTAGAAATTGTTTTTAAAATTATTTTTAAAGGTAATTTGCATGATACATATATTTATAATTCCTTTCCCATGAATAAATGAGACAAAAGAGTTTCCAAAATCTTTTGTCATATGTCAGTTTCTTATAGAGTTCACCTCCATTTTCATTTTCTTTCTCTATTTCTATTTCCATTTCCGTTTCCTTCCATTTCCAAAGTAGGTTTTACCCCTCCAAGCAGGTCGTTTTCTGACTTTCCTGTGTATTTCAGGAGAGCTTGAATGACTGAGTCATAGATCTTTCTCTTCTTTTTTTCCCCCTATATTTCTTTTTAATTAGTCCTCACCACCTGTGACTTGCAAAAGGTCAGGTATTATTATCTCCGTGCAAAAGATGAGGAGATTGAATCAACAGAAAGGTTAAGAAACTTGTCCAAGTCCACAGAGTTAGTGAGTGTTCTTCCTGATCTTAAAGCCTGTACCCTATTTAATTATTTACTTTGAATTGGCCAGAAATCTGACTCTGAGAACAGCCTGTTTCTGCCCAAGATCAGAATAATCTTAAGCAAATTTCTTATTTTCTCTGGTCTCAGTTTCCTCTTCTGTTAAATGGAATTTCTGTAAAGGTTAAATGAGATAACATGTGTAAAGTATTTGCCACTGTGCCTTCAGTAGAAGACATCAACAAAAGTAGATTGTGTCTGTGTGTGTGTGTGTGTGTGTGTGTGTAGATACTACATACGTATGTTTATATATCTTTATATATACCTATATAGTCATTATCATTATGTATTGTCATTATATAGTGTTGTATGTTTTATGAGCCTCATTTGTTTTAGAGTTTAAAAGACTTTTAATTGAAGTATAATATACATACAGAGAAGTACACATATAAAGATATGGCTTGATGAATTTTCACAGAGTGAATAAATCTTAGCAATGAGCACTCAGATGAAGCATCCCGGGGCCCCTTCATGCCTCCTTCCAGTCACTATTCACCATCACCATGCCACTAACCTAACCTCTAGCAGCATAGACCACCTGTGTCTACTTTTGTACTTTATATGTGTATAATCATGCAGAGTTATTATACTCTTTTATGTCTGGCTTCTTTCATCAACATTATGTTTGTGACATTGCATAGAATTATAGTCTGTTCATTCACATTGTTGTATAATATCCATTGTGTGAATATACCTCCATTTATTTATTCTTCATGGGCTGATTTCAGACTTTCAAAACACCCTGTGAGCTAGAAAGCAAAGTACTGCTATCCTCACTTAATAGATGAAGAAACTGAAGTTCAAAGAGGCATTTTCATTTGTGAAAGTTCAAGTAAATCATATGAGGGCCAGGCCCAAAACTCTTGCCTCCTAATTTCTAAATCCCAATTTTCAAATCCCATGCATTGAACCACACATTTCCATTAGGTGTGCAGACTCACCCTCCAGATAAGCCCCCTTAGTACTCCTGAGGATGAGTTATCCTCCAGCTGCTGATTCAGGGAGAGTTTGGGAAAGTCCTTAAGGGATGCTTTTGTTGATTTTCACATATAGTATTAGGTTGTTAAGTAAGAAGGGGCCAGGACTGGGCTAATGGAGAAACTCATTCTAATTCTGCCGTTGCCACATTGCTGTGACTCACTGGACAAATGTTCTCATTTTGGGGGGGCCTTTGTTGAAAGGAGAAAATGTATGTGAAGACCTTTATCAAGGGGAAGTGAGTAAGGGAAAGGGAAGACAGTTTGCATCTGCTGGCCCTGATCCTGCTCTGGAACAGGGACAACCAGGATGAGCAAAACATCATCCCTGCCTTCAAGGAGTTCTGCCTGGTAGGAGAGAGTGAAGTTATGACACCTGCAATACAGTGTGAGAACTGCAACAGGGGCCTGCAGAAGCCCAGAGCCTGGGTGCCAGACCCAGCCTAGCAGGTGGCATCAGGGAAGATTTCTTGGGGGAGGAGATGCCTGAGCTGAATTTTGAAGAATAAATGAGCTAACTAGCCAGGCTCTGACATGTGGGAAATTATATTCTAAAGTAGTGGCTATCCATTCAAATCATCTGGGAAACTTAAAAAAATACTAATGATTGGGTCTTCTCCAGAAGAGTTTCTAATTTAATTGGTTGTGAGTGGTACCCAGGCACTAGTATTGATTTGAGCTCTCTGGCTGATTTTATTGTGTAATCAGGGACCATGAAGATCAGCAGAAGAAACTGCTTGAGTATGTTCAGGTTGGCTAAACCACCTTCCTCTTTGGGAAACTACTAGAACTTACTTGTTCCTGAAACAAGAAAGGTAAAATAGAAGGAGTTATGAGATGAGGATATACACAGGATCAGATGAAGAAAGTCCTTGTCTGTGAGCTAAAGACAAGGTGATGGGACAACATTAAGGATTTTAAGCAAGGGAGTAACATACCAGATTTACATTTTTATGTAGTCAAATATATATAATAAAGTTTCTCATTTTAACAATTTTTAAGTATAATATTCTGTGGCATTAAGTAAATTCACATTATTATACAACCATCACCACCATCCATCTGCAGAACTTTGTCATCTCCAGCTGAAACGCTCTACTCATTAAACACTAATTCCCCATCCTCCCCTCCTCCCAGCCCCTGGAAACCACAATTCTACATTCTGTCTTCATGAATTTGACTACTATAGGTACCTCATGTAAATGGAATCAACATTGTTTCTTTCTTTGTGACTGGCTTATTTCACTGAGCATAATGTCCTCAAGATTCAACCATGTTGTAGCCATGTGTCAGAATTTCCTTCCTGTTTAAGGCTGAATAATATTCCATTATACATATACCACATTTTCCATGTATTCTGTAATTGTGTGTATACCACATTTTGTTTATCCATTCATCCGTCTGTAAATACTTGAGTTGCTTCCACCTTTTGGTTATTGTGAATAATCCTGCTGTGAACATGGGTGTACAAATATGTGTTTGAGTGCTGCTTTCAATTCTTTTGGGTATACATCCAGAAGTGAAATCTCTAAATCACATGATAATTCTATGTTTAATTTTTTGAGGAATCACCATACTGCTTTCCGCAATGGCTGCACAATCTACTTTCCCACCAGCAGTGCACATTCTAATTTCTCCGCATTCCCGCCAAACTTGTTATGTTCTGGATTTTTTCTTTTTTTCTTTTTTTTTTCTGGAGCGCAATGGCACAATCTCGGCTTACTGCAACCTCCGACTCCCTGGTTCAAGCAATTCTCCTGCCTCAGCCTCCCAAGTAGCTGGGATTACAGGCATGCACCACCATGCCCAGCTAATTTTTTTGTATTTTTAGTAGAGACGGGGTTTTACCATGTTGGTCAGGATTGTCTTGATCTCCTGACCTCATGATCTGCCCACCTCGGCCTCGCAAAGTGCTGGAATTACAGGCATGAGCCACCCCACCTGGCCCTATGTTCTGAATTTTTTTGATTTTGTTGGTTTGGTTGTTTGTTTGGTTGGTTGGTTGGTTGGGTTTCATATACTAGCCATCCTAATGCGTGTGAAGTGATATCTCATTGTGGCTTTTATTTGCCTTTCCCTAACATCTAGTGATATTGAGCATCTTTTTAAGTGCTTATTCATTTTTTGAATATCTTCTCTGGAGAAATATTTATTCAAGTTCTGTGCCTAGTTTTAAATTGGATTGTTGTTTTGTTGCTGAGTTGTAGGAGTTCCTTATATATTCTGGACATTGGTTCTTTATATGATATAGGATTTGTAAGTATTTTTTCCCATCTTATATGTTGCCTTTTTACTCTGTTAATACTGGCCTTTCACACACAAAAGTTTTTAAATTTTGATGAAGTCTAACATCTATTTTTTCTTTTGTTGTGCTTTTGAGGTCATATCCAAAAAATCAATGCCAAATCCAATGTCATGAACATTTTCTCATATGTTTTCTTCTAAAACTTTTATATTTTTAACTCTTTTGTTTAGGTCTTTGATCAATTTTAAGTTTGAATATGGTGTAAGGTAAGGATCCAGCTTCATTTTTTTGAATGTGGACAATCAGTTTTCCCAATACTATTTGTTGAACAGATTGTCTTTTCCCCCATTGACTGGTCATGACACCCTTGTTGAAAATCACTGGACCATATATGCAAGGGTGTACTTCTGGGCTCTCTATTCTATTCCATTTGTCTATGTCTATCTTTATACTTTTATACCAGTACATCACTGTTTTTTGTATGTGCTTTTTGTTTGTTCATTTTTTTAAGAGACGAGGTCTCGCTCTGTTGCCCAGGCTAGAGTGCAGTGGCATGAGCATAGCTCACTGCTGCCTTGAACTCCTGGGGGATCCTCTTGACTCAGCCCCCCTCATTGATGGGACTACAGGCATGAGCCACCACCCCTGCACTCACTGTTTTACTATAGTTTACCATAAGTTTTGAAATCAGGAAGTTGAGACCTCCAACTTTGTTCTTCTTTTTCAAGATTATTTTGACTAGCTGGGTTCCTCAAGATATCAGACACATTTTAGAACAGATTTTTAGGAAAAACATCCAAAAAATTTCTGCAAAAAATGTCATTGAGATTTTGATATAAATTGCATTTAATCCATAGATTGCTTTGGGTAGTGTCAACGTCTTAATAATAGTAAGTCTTCCAATCCATAAACACAGGCTATCTCTCCATTTATTTGTGTCCTCTTCAATTTCTTTCAGCAATGTTTTATAGTTTTCAGTGTGTAAGTTGTTTGTTTCCTTGGTCAAGTTCATTTCTATTTTATTATTTTTGTGATGTTACTACAAATAGAATTGTTTCTTAATTTCTTTTTCAGATTACTTATGTTGAGTTTATAGAAATGCAATTGATTTTTGTGCATCAGTTTTGTATCTGGCAACTTTTCTGATTTATTAGTTCTAGCAGTGTCCTGTGGAATTCAGAGTTTTCCCTAAATCAGTTCATATCTCATCCACTAACAGATACAATTTTACTTCATCCTTTCCAATTTGGATACCTTTTATTTGTTTTTTTTGCCTAATTGCTCTAGCCAGGAATTCCACTACTATGTTAAACAGAAGTAGCAAAAGCAGGCATCTTTCTTATTCCTGATCTCAGAGGAAAAGCTTTCAGTTTGTCACCACTGAGTACGAGGTTAGGTGTGGGTTTTTCATGTATGGCCTTAATTACGTTGAGGTATTTTTTTCTATTCCAGTTTTATAGTGTGATTTACATTTACAAAAATACTTTGGCTGTCAAGTAGAGAATGGACTGGGTGGAGATGAGCTGATAGTTGAGAGACCTTTTAGAAGCTGTTGTAATAGTTTAAGCAAAAGATGATGTAGTTACCAATTAGAGTAGTATTAGAAAGAAATGGAGAGGAGGAAATAGTTATGAGAAACTTTTAGGAAGTAATGTTAGTAGAATGTAGTGACTAATTGGATATGCTAGAAGGTAAGGTTCAAGGATGCTTTCCAGGTTTCTGACTTGGGAAACTAGAGAGGGGTTGTTTTATGAGGAATGATGATGAGTTAATTAAGGATGAAGCACTTGGGGACAAGCAATTAGAAGAGTCATGAGCTTGAAGAAAAAGGCATGGGCCAGGGATGGAAATTTTTGAAATATTTCCACCCAGGTAGTGGTCAAAACCATGTGTAGGGATGGGTTGAGCAAGAGATACAAAAACAAATGCCTGGAGGGGCCAGACAGGCAACAACCATAGTGGATGGTGGCTGATGCAATACCCCAAGGGAGCTTAGGACCTGGGGCAAATGAGTTTGCAGGCCCTAACCAATGTAATCAGCCAAGCAAAGCAGACTGCTGGTTTCTGTCCTGCCCCCATCCCGTTCCATTGTTCTCCCTTAAGAACATAGAGGGAGGCCAGTGCGGTGGCTCATGTCTGTAATCCCAGCACTTTGAGAGGCCAAGGCGGGTGGATTACCTGAGGTTGGGAGTTCAAGACCAGCCTGACCAACATGGAGAAACCCTGTCTCTACTAAAAAATACAAAATTAGCCAGGCATAGTGGTGGCGCATGCCTGTAATCCCAGCTACTTGGGAGGCTGAGGCAGGAGAATCACTTGAACCCAGGAGGCGGAGGTTGCGGTAAGCTGAGATGGTGCCATTGCACTCCAGCCTGGGCAACAAGAGCAAAACTCTGTCTCAACAACAACAAAAAAAAAAGGAAAAAAAAAAAGAAAAAAGAAAAAGAAGAACATAGAGGATAGGTTCCATCATCTTAATGGAATTTCAAGGAATATGTCAGACCACTGGAGAGGTAATTTGAGTCAAGAGAGGCCTCCCTCTCCTCAGCACATTTGACATCATCACAGAGGCAGACGTGGCTCCAGTTGCAATTGGCTCTGCTCTTCACTGTGTTCCCTAGCAGCATTGCTCAGAGCAGTGACCGCCAGGAGCTAAAGTTGAGGAGCCTGGGGGGCCTTAATAGGGAGAGCCAAGAGATCTCAAGGCCAAGGCCAGCAGGCCTGGCTCCTGTTTCAGGGCCTGGAAGCTTAGTCCTTTAAAACATCAACATATTAATGAGCTGCTGAAGGCTTGGCTTTCCATACATGGGACATTTGGAAAGAAAAGGTTATTTTTGTTGTTGTTTTTAATACATAAATAACACAATCTGACTTTTTAGCACAGCAGAGAGGTCTGAGCAGCCAGAATAGGAAGACCCCCCACAGGGGTGAATTTCTGAAGCCAGTTCTTGCACGAGCCTGAAGCTCCAGGGGGACTCAGGCCCGAGCAGCCAGAGGTCAGCATCTCTGTTTCCATTTTTCCTATAAATGGCAGTCCAACTAGGGCAGGGGAGCAAGGCAATTGGCCTGGGTTGTTGGAGTTGTTTGTTTGACCTGCTGGATTGAACAAACTTAGCATGTCTGTGATTTTGCCCTTTAGATGGCAAAATCTATGTGGACCAGACAGGAGATTTTAGGAGGCCCTTTCTGGTGGCAGAAACAATCAGCTCTATTAAGCAACCAGCAAGCAAACACACTCATTCTTCAAAGCCTGGCTCAGATGTCATCTTCTACATTCAAACCTTTTCCATCTCATGCCTTTAGGACCCCATAACATTTACTTGTGTTATGTGCCTCACTGGGCCTCACTTTGGGCTTCTCAAAGGCAGGAAGGGTCTGATTCTAATTCTACATGTATGTGCTTTAGGACCAAGCTAGGTGCCTTGTACACACCCAGTGTTTGAATGAATTAATGCATGGCTTAACATTTTATTAATGTAGTGTTCCTTCCTTCACACTGCCAACTTCCTGTGGCTCCTATGTAATCTTTCTTTCTTACAGCTATTGTATTAGTTTCCTAGAGATGCCATGACAAAGTACCACAAAGAAGATTGGCTTAAAGAACAGGCATGTATTGTCTATAGTCCTGGAGATGAGAAGTCCAAGGTCAAGGTGTCCATGGGGCTGATTCCTTCTGAGGGTTATGAGGGAGCATCTGTTCCAGGCCTGCCTCCTAGCTTCTGGTGGTTTGCTGGCAACCTTTGGCATTCCTTGGCTTATTGATGCATCTTTCCAATCTCTGCCTTCCTTCATGTTCATGTGGCATTCTCCCTGTGTGCATGTCTAAATTTTCTCTTTTAATAACGACAACAGTCATATTGGATCAGGGCCAACCCTATTCCATTATGACCTCATCTTAACTCATTACATCTGCACTGACCCTATTTCCAAATAAAGTTACATTGTAAGGTACTGGAGGTTAGGTCTTCAAATTCTAAATTTGGACAGGACACACACCTACTCATAACAGTCATGATTTACACCTGGCAATTTTCAAAGAGCTGTCCACTCTCACAGCCTTCTTGAGGTTAAGGATTACATCCTATTCTCATGAGGCTGGGGTATCTTAGAAGGAGCTCTGCTCTAAAAGGACAAGTGACTCCTATTTCTTTGCCTCAGTTTTCTCATATTTAAATCACAAAGGTAGAGTAAATAATTCCTTGAGCCTTTCTTAGATCTGAGATCCTTGCATTTTTCTGGAAATCAGTGTCCCAAGGCATGCTGTCTTTTCTAGGAGTTCTCTCATCTCTAACTAGCAGCAACCTGACCACTAGAATACCTTGCTCTTTCTTTTGCTAATCTGTTTTATGTCTAAAACTTATATCCTACCCCTTTCTTGGCCTCCTCGCTCTGGGGTTCTCATTGCCCAAGATTTCACAACTTAGTTAATAAAAGTACACTTGTTGGCATTGTCATTGATCAATGGTATTTCTCATTTTGTATTCAGTAATGTGGACAATCTCACACAGTTTGTCAATTTACGATTTTTGCTGTGTGTATGCAGAGGTGCACTCATAATTTAATTTTGAAAAACCTTGAAGAAGATGTTATCCAAACAGACGAAAGGGAGTTCATGGTTGTAAAAATAATGATCTAGCCTTCTCTGACTCTCTGCTGTTTTAAAGAACTACTACGTCTGGCATCTGTCCAGTATTTGTGTGGCCTGAACCCATTTTATTCACCCATATGAGCCACTTCTTTTCTTTATGCATGTTTCATTACAGGCACATTGTATATATCTATGTGTGTTTCTCTGTGCATATTAATATTGTCAAAAGACAAAATTACAACAAATTTAGAGATCCTAATTGACTTTCGTTTGTTTCCAGAATTGGGCAACACCTCATTCTACAAAGTAGTTTCAGTGTTCCCATAAGCCGAGCAGAAGATGGTTTTATAAACAGAAAGGGGCCAAGGAAAGCAGAAACAGAAAATAAAAAGCAGATTGGTTGTTTCAAAGTTACTTTCCTTATAAAGGTCAAAGCTGGCCTTATAAAGGCCAGCTAAAACTAGCTTGTTTGAGGTTTTGGCTATTATTTCTCTCTCTGTTGATTTATCAGAAAGTCAGATAAACAATTTTGTCTCAGCTTGGTGATGTGGAAATTTAACATGAATGATTCCATTTTGGTTTGGTCTTTTGGACCTGGTACAGGAGCTCAGTCCAAATCAATGGCCTCCTATAAATTTTATTTAAAATTATCCATTTCTCCCTTTATGCTTTTGTTTTTGATACACTTTACTCCTGACACATGGCCTTTCTCCATCATCTCCTACTCATCTACTAAGACTCAGCTAAAATGCTACCATCTCATGAAGCTCCCTCTTACCTCCCCAAGCAACAGAACTTACGCCATTGCCTGAATGCCATTGTACTGTATCTGTACTTTTCTCTGGCACTTACTCACTTTCTACTTTGTACAAGTGCACTCAGCTTCACTACTTTTCAGCTCTAACTCTCAGTAGGTCAGTTAAACTCTCAAGCCTCAGTTTGTTCATCTGCATGATGGGAACCATAATACCAACGTCTAGAGTAGTTATGAGAATTAAGACAATAAATGTGAATGTCCTAGAACACAACAGATTCTCAATACATATTAGTTCCCTCTCTCACCCCCCGTGTCAGGGTTTGTATATTTGCTCAATTCTGCATCCCCCATCACCCTCTAGAATAGCTCCTGGCATTTTTCTGCATGCTTAATTCGAGATGGATAAATTAATGGATGGAAGGTAAATTACATGGCCTATGAGAAAAATTGCTAATACTTTGGGTTAATACTTTTATCCAAACAATATCAGATTTGAGTCTTCATCAGTGAAAATCCTAATCTAATTAGTAAGTAAATGAAAGCACTTTATGGCCTCTACTTACAGTCCCCATCCCCCAACCCCACCACACACATATACTTTATTTTTTCATTCACTCCTGCCCAGATACTCAGCTGCCTCTTGGATGCTTTATTCAAGCCTGTCTTTCTCCCTGGACTTAACTTATTCTCTATATTTCCTCTTCTTTCTCTCTCCATGTCTATCACAATTTACCTGTTTCCTGTGCTAATCACTTATAGCTCCAATTATCACAAAGAAACATCTTTATTTGGTGTTAGGAAGGGCTTAATGATGTGGTAGCCAGCCTCCAAGAGGGATCCTAATGAGCATCACTTTCTGGAGTTTATGCCCTTCTATAGTCCCCTCTCATATTGAATAAGGATTACTTTATGGCCAATAAAATACTCAGAAAATGACAGTGTGTGATGTCGAGGCAATGTCATAAAATACATTGCTGCTTTCACCTTGGGATCTAGGATTGCTCCCACTGGGGGAAGCCAGCCACCATGTTGTGAGGACACCCAAGCAACCCTGTAGATAGATTAATACACAGAAAAATTAAGGCCTCCTGCCAACAGCCAGTACCAACTTGCCAGTCATATGAGAGAACCACCATGGAAGTCGATCCTCTAGATTCAGGCAACCCTTCAGATGACTATAGCCCAGTCCAACACCGGATTCAATCTTATTAGAGACTTCAAGCTTAAACCACCAGCCAAGCCACTCCCAAATTCTTGAGCTACAGAAACAGAAATAATAAATACGTATTTTTGTTTAAGGCCACTGTGTTTGGAGGGGATTTGTGGCATAGCAATAAATAACTAATATATTGGGTTACCCTGATGCTACTGAGTCCAAATAGTAAAATTCCTGGATTCCAGGAAGCATAGGTCCAGTGAGGGAGAGATTGGGAGCAGATGGAACTATCAAAGCCTCTCATGTCCCCACAAGTTAAAAGTAGGAGATCCTTCAACCACTTGGTTAAACTGCATGGCAGTATCCACAGGAGGTAAACATGTACAAATCCTAACACTCAGAAATTCCACTTGCAGGTATGTACCCAGTGGAAATGGGTTCACCAAAGACACATGCAAGAATGTTTGTTAACAGGATTATTGATAATAGCCAAAACCCAGGAACAACCCAGATGTCCATCAACAGTAGAATGGATAAATACATTGTAGTGTATTCATGAAAACACTGTATAGAATTGAGAAGAAGCAAGCAAGCTATAACTACAAAAAACAATATGGATAAATGTCTCAAATAGTGCATAGAGTGAAAAAAAAGCCAGTTATGAAGAATATCTATTTGTGATTCTACTTGTATAAAGTATAAAACAGCAAAATTAGTCTATAATGTAAAATACCAATTATACTTAGGGGATATAATGAAAGGGGTTTCTAGGCTCTGAGAATCTTCTGTTTTTTGTTTTTTGTTTTTTAACTGCTAATAGCCTGGAGACAGATTCTCATTTGAAAAAAATCAGTGAACTATACACTTAGGATTTGTGTACTTTTCAGTATGGATATTATACTTCAATAAACAATTTACTTTAAAAATCTTACCAAGTTTTAAAAAGAAATAAGTGTACCTGAGAGCAGCACATGTTTCAAAAGGGTCTTGCTTTATATTGAGGAAGGAAGTAGGGGATGAAAAATTCCTAGTTTACTATTAACTTGCTTGGGCCTCACTTGCCCAATAATAATAATAATAAAATAAGTTAATATGTATTATGTACCAACTATACTTAAAGCATTATGTCTGGCAAATAAGTATGGCATTTTATTTAATTTCAAAACAATTTTTCAAACAGGTAATATCATACTCATTTTACAAATGTGGAAGCTGAAGTCAAGAGAAATTGAATAACTTCCCAGAGTTACAACATGTACCAATGTCATAGGCTACACTTGAGCCCCTATCTCTGGTTCCTAAGACTTCATTTTTTTCAACAATTTCATTATTATGCTAAAAAGAGGGAGAGTAAGTAATGTTTTACATTCCTTTAGTACATGATTAAGATCTATGCATATTAAATCTATATGTGCATGTATGTATATGTATATATTATGTATGTATGTACATACCTGCTTATAGGTGTGTGGGTGTATATGAGTGCTCACATAGTAAATTATGTAAACTAGGCTCTGCCGGCCCAGTGCCAAGATCTACAGGGAAACAAAAAAATGTAAAGATTTGCTAGAATGGCTCGAAATATTTGACTTTTGGCGTTGTGTAATTCAAACATCTGAATAAACTCTCTGTCTGATTTTCACCCATATATTTACTCAGTACAGATACTAGCTCTGGCTCAGTGATCCAGTGGGTGAACTGATTAGCATTCCTTCCTGTAATGCTCTCCTTGCTTCTGCTATTTCTGCTTCTGAACTTAGAATAATAAAACTACCAAATGGAAGCTGGGCACATGGTCACCCAACTGGAGACTCCATTTTTCATCTTTCCTTGCAGTGTGGGGATGTGAGGTAGGGTAAGTGATGCCTGAAACCTCCAGGTCACCCTCTTTAAAAACAAAGTCCCTTATGCTGGACTTGCTTCTTTTTCTCCCTGCAGGCTGGAAATGGAATAAGACAGTAACCCAGCCTCAACCAGAGATGAAGCCAACACTGTAGGAATGGTGCAAAAACAAGTTGGAAGTCACATGGGGTGCCCTGTGGAGCAGAGCCACCCCACTCACCTGACTACATTCCTCTGGACTATTAGGTAAGAGAGAAATAAAGTTCTATTTCACGTAAGTCCAGTGTAGGGATCCCTGGTACACTTACCCTGTACCCTACCTAATGCTTGTGGCTTTACAGGGCGGGCGTTAATTCACACCAATACACGAACAAGCACCTTGGGCAAGAACTCAGTCCTCAACAGCCAATTGAATTCCCAAGTGAGAGACTGCTCTGCAGGAAGCAGCCTCAGAGGGACTGATAACGTCCCCATCATAGCTTACAACAGTCTCATACCCACCTTCTTCTTTGATCCTCATCACAAATATATAGAGTAAAAATTAACTATATTCTCATTTTGTCCAAGAAACCAGTTCTTGAACAAGTTTCTTGCTTATGTGAGTAAGGGACATGAAACAAAGCTTGCATCACTCCTGGTCTCCCCAAACAAGGAGCTCCGTGGCAGCGTGAGGCTACATGAAGGGAATCCTGAGAGTGATGCCCTTCCCCTCTTGTTGCAAAGCAACAAAGTTCACAGTCAAACAGCCTCAACAATACTAATGTAAAATGATACAGGAATTTAAGTGACCTTACTTTAAATCAGCCTAGCTCTCTCTCCCTTGCCAACTTTGGATTTAAGTTGGCATAACCAGGCAGCCTTATGCCTGTAGCCCAGATTTTGCCCATTGAAGTCATATTTTTATATAATTTCCTAGCCTGCAGCACACTTACATTCTCATTGTTGTCTTAGGACAAACCTATGAGGTAAGTATTTTTCTTTTTCCCATTTTTTTACAGATGGAGAAACTAAGGCTCAGAGAGGTTAAGCAACTTGCCTCTGGTAACACAGTAAATAGATGAGATCATCCACATTAAATACTCAATATCTTGCCTGGCCCTTCTGAAGTGCTTAATAGCATGTTAGTTACTGCTATGAGTAGTAGGAAGGGATGTAAATTGAAGTCCCCTGGCCTTAAATCCACTATTCCACTTGGCCTCTGTCCTGCCTGTTGCTTTCCCTCCTGTACCTGAGTCTGCCTTGGTAACCTACCCAGCAATTATGATGGCCTCCCTTACATGGTACTTTTCCTGTGCCAGGAACTGTTCTACACGCTTTCCAGTTATTAACTTACGTCCATGCCCTCCAGCCAAAAACCACCAGGAACACAACTGTAGTTGAACAAAATTGAGCTTATTGATGTGTTGCAATGAGGGAGAAATCACGTCATAGAGATTCATGGGGTGCCTCAGTAGAGGGTATTAGAAAGCACTTACATGCTGTGAGCTTGAGTTAGGTGATAATGGAGAGAGTTTACGGAAGTGGGGGTTTGCTCTGTATTGGGTGCTGCCAGAAAATGGGGATGATCCTATGATTGAGTATTTTAATGAATCTTATCTAGAGGGAGAGAAGACTAGAAGGAGGCCTAAGAAGTCCTTAGTAAAGAAGCAGCAATCACTCATATTAGTTGGGAGATGCAGATATTTGGTATTTTTGTGGTTTGCACAGTGACCCTGTTTTTGTCTGTGCTTGGCAAAAAATTATAAAATAGTCTTTTTAAAAATTTTGTATCACTTGTGAGATTATTCATGTTCCATGGGAGAACACCTCAACCTAGCCATGAGTGCCAGGCCAGCACCCAACATGGAGGCCTAGCTTTCAGTGCTCGGTCAGTTCATAGTCCTGTGAGAAGTCAGGGAGTGCTTTTCTCTTTCTCATTTATTTAATCTCCATAACGCATTTATGGGTTCAATTCTATTAATATTTCCATTAGATAGGTGAGGAACATGAGACACGGAGGACTTAAGTTACTTGCCAAGGACACACAGCTAAAACCTGAGAAGCTCAGGTTGGAACCCAGGTGATGTGGCCTCAGAAATCTTCTCTCTTAACCACTATGATACCCCGGACCTCTGCAGTTACCCCAAGAGGGGTCCTGCTTGATTCTTTCTTGGCCTCATTCCATCTGTGAGCCCTTATCATCTGCCCTTGGTGGGGCACACCTGCCTATTGTGGACCATATGCTGTTGAATCTCTGGCTTGCTTGGGTACACACATAGCTGGATTCCAAGATCCACAGTGGGTCAGACTTATCTTCTGGAAAATAGCTGAAATTCCTGACACTGACAGCCTGCCTGTAGCATTCGTTCCTTCCCATCCCAAACTCTCTGCAAACCTACTCCACCCGCTGTGTTGGATACCCCCACCACCACCCCTCATTACTCCCCAGTGACCTCCCCACCCTGGTGAATGAGAATTCTTTCTGGAGGGGCTGAACTTTGGGCCTGCCCAGCCCCAGCTGCCTGTTATGACATCCTAAAAGAATCTGACTAAGGCCCCCGGGGTGTATGTTAGACACTGCCTGCAAGCTTGGAGGCAGTGTGGCCTAGAGGATGAGCTAGCTGAGTTCCCACTCAATAGATAGTTACTCAGCAAGTTACTTAACCTCTCTGAGCTTCACCAGCTGCAAAACTAAGGGCAATTGGTGTTCATCTTGTAGTGTTGGTGGAAGGGTCAGATGAGACAATGTATATTTACGTGTAAAGGCATATTTGGGGAAGATCTCCTACACACAAATGCTCTGTATGCAGTATTTTTTTTTTGAGGGGGTGGGAAATGAAAAAGGGATTAAGTTTCACATCTGTGTTGATATGGAATAGAGAATGAGCAAGGGAGGGCAAAACAGCTATAAACTGTGCTATGCAGGAGAAGTCCTCTGTAAATACTAATCTTCTCCTCTTCCTATAAGATAGAAGTAGCATCCGATTAGGGGCTGCATCCTAGTGATTAGGAGTGTAGACCCCGGAGTCAGACTTCTGTGGTTCAAATCCTTATCCCATCCAATGCTAGTTGTGTGACCTCAGGTAAGTTACTTAATCTCTCTGGGCTTTCATTTTTCTCTTCACATATGAAGCAGGAATAACACCGTGCTTTGCACAAATATTGTGAGCATGCAGGGAGCTGACTTCTGTGGAATGGTTGAACCATGACAGGCTTTCAGTCAATGTGGGTTCCCTTCTTTAGCCCCCAACCCTGCTAGGGTGTTTGCATTTTAAAAGACACTGAAGGGAAAAGGGCAGCCTAACTCCTAGGCATGAAGTGTTAACAAAACAATTTCATGCTGCAGGGGACTCAAGGAAGGCCGCTACTCCCTGACCATACCACAGTGTAATCACCTATTGTGAGCAGTACAGTGTGGGGCTAAATCCTGCCAACATGGGATCACTGGGGAGTTTCAGTCTCTGAAACACCTAGTAATGCAAGATATTGAATTTCATGGAAAGTGTTTTGGAGTTAACATCAGAATATCTGCGTTCTTCATATGATGCCGCCATTTTGTGGCATTGAGCAAGTCACTCAACCTCCATCATTTTCTTCTCTCCCTCCTCAATAGCAGAAAGAAGTTTCTATAACCCAGAGGTAAGACACTTTACTTTTGTTTAGTCATTACAATAGCCCTCTCCAGTATGTAATATCATTAACCCCATTTTACAGATGAGAAAACCCAGGCTTACAGGGCTTGAGGGGCTTGTCCAAAGACACGCAGCTAATGAGCAGCTGGGCTTTGAACCTAGGCAGTCAGACTCTAGTGCCTGTGACTTTACCACGAGTCCAAGCAGCATCTTAAGGTTTCCATGTCCTGATCCAAGCCCTGGAGAATACTTGCCCCCTGTTTTCTCCCAGGTAGTTCTAAAATGAGATAGGCCAATGGATATGACCATGATGTACTTTGTTAACTGTGAAATGTATTGCCGAGATGTGATGCTGTCCTGCTTACTGTGGCTATGAAGGGCAGCATTAGCACAGAAGCCTATAGCATGGATATTTTAGAAGGGCAGATTTCAGATATAAGTGAAGATGGTCTTGCCACAGTGAGACCATCTTGAGTGAGCTGGGCTGTCCCTACCTCCCCAGCAAAGGAAAGCAGCAGGGGGATTCATTCATCATGTATACAGGACCTGAAGTTCTTAGACCCTGAAGCTCCTAGCACAGGGCTGGAATCAGGACAGGTGCCCAGTTCAGTGAGGTCCCCTCCTCTTCCTCTCATTGGATGCTCTCCAGCCACTTCACGTTTCCACTTCACATTCAGTAAATTCTCATGTTTCTGTGAGGTTACCAGAGCCTGACTTGACCTGAATGTAGTTTAGCCAACTTTATCACAGCTCAGGGGCTGGGGTGGATATGTAGAGAGAACATTTTTCCTGAACTCTGGCTCAGACTCCTTCAACATCTGTTGAAAACAAGGGAGTTTACCACACAGCCCTCTCACAACCAAGTACTCAATTAATGCTTGGCTACCCAGAGCGACTTTTCTGAAGAAAAATACCAGTGTTTAATTTTTCTTCACCTCTGTCCATCTTTCTGAGAGAAGGACTCCTGAGGCCAATCATGGAGAAAGAGTCTTTGGTGTCCCCCCTGCTGTTTGTTGTTCTAATAACCTGGGCCAAAGCATGCAGAATGGGCTACTCAATGCACCCCAGTGTGACCTCCACCCTGTAGGAGTGGGGGATGGAGGAGGGACTGGGGTATGGAATGATTAACAAGAGAACAGAGGCTCTTCATGAACTTCTGTGTCACAGCCTTGCTCTGAGAGGGTAGGAGAGCCCTATTTTCCCAGGAAATGGTATGTTGGGGCATGATGGGGGAAGGGGGATGCTATGATTGCCACCAGGACTCTCTCAAACTTTTAAGATCTTTCGGGTTGTAGGTTTGGTCAACCCAAAGTGTGGTCCACAGACCAGCAGCACCACCATCACCTATGTGCTTGAGATCATTTGGAGTGCAGAATCCCAAGCCCCACAGCAGCTAACGCAATCAAAATCTGCACCTGATCAAGACCCCCAGGCGATGCTTGGGCACACTCAAGTTTAAGAAGCACGATCTAGACAAGATTGACTCAAAGCTCCCAACTGTGTTCCATGGAAGTTCAAAGCCCTAAAGTGGGTTCCATGGAAGTCCAGATCCCTCCCCCAAATGTCTGTGAACTCCCAGGGGGCTTGCAGTCTTGTAGTTGCCTCTGGAAACAACTGCCTCTCTGCATGGGACAGTGTACAGCTTGTGTTGCCCTCCCCATTCACTTGCTCTGTCTATTCCATGTCAACCTGGATGGAAAACTAACCTCTTCTTCAGTTACCACCAAAAACCAACTCATACAGAGCATTTATGTATAGGAGATTTTCCTAAAATGTGCTAAGAAGGAAGAGTGAAACAAAATATGCACTTTAACCACTTTATATTGAACACAAAATACCTCTGTTCTTTGACCACAAAACAATAGACAATTTTCACTGGCCCCTTCACCCCAGATAATCCCTACCCTTCCCCACCTCCCTGGATCATCTCTCACCACCTCTCCTTTTTGGCCCCTCTCCATTCTTCTTTCCCTGACTCCTTCAGGAGCAAAACTCCCCTCATTTCCTCATACAGGGCAGTAATGAAATCTTTTTTATTGTCTTTACAACATGCTCTCAGGGTCCCCCTTCTGTCCTCTTTGCCTCAAAAAGACAATGCCTCACACCCATGCTCTGAGGCATGATTCACAGGGGCCAAGAGGTGGAAGCAGCTGGAGTGTCCATTGACAATGAATGAACAAACAAAATGAGGTCTGTATACACAAAGGAGTATTATTCAGCCTTAAAAAGGAAAGAAATTCTGACACATCCTACAGCATGAATGAACCTTGAGCACACTACGCTAAGTGAAATAAGCCACACACAAAAGGACAAATATTATAGGATTCCACTTATATGAGGTACCTGGAGTGGACAAATCCATAGAGACAGAAAGTAGAATGGTGGTTTCCCAGGGATGTGGGGTGAGGAGAATGGGGAGTTAATGTTTAATTGGTACTGATTTTCAATTTTGCAAGATGTAGAAGTTCTGGAGATTGGTTGCACAACAATGTGAATATATTATACACTACTGAACCATATACTTAGAAGTGGGTAAGATGGTAAATTTTATATTATGTGGGTTTTGTTCACCACAATTTCAAATTAAATTTTTAAAAAAACTTGGGCAAGGTGTTTATTCCTTTGAGTCTTAGTTTCCTCACTTCTACCTTGGAGACGAATGTGTCTATTCTCCTCTAACTACACCTCACAAGGCTGTTTTCAAGCTCACATGAAGTGATATTACTGAAAGACAAGAACAAAGGCATTTCTTTCTCAAGAGCAATTCCAGTGCTGAAGCTGAAGATAACTCACTTTTCTTTATAGCTAATGTGGCTTCCATTTCCCCTGCCCGTCCTTCCCAACCTCCCCCACACTTCTCTTCCTCTACCATCACTTTAATGTTGTTGAGTCAATGTTTATTCCCTCCCTCTTTTATGCTGCTATTCTCCCTGGGATTTCAATGAATCTCGAAGCTTCAAGTACCATCTGTGGCCAGATGAACAACAATATGTAACTCTCATCTAGCTCTCTTTCCTAAAATTCAAACTAATATATCCTACTGAATTTATCCCCTATGCACCTCAACTCAGCATGCTCAACATTGAACTCAGATATGTTATTTTTCAAAGGTTCATTTCTCTCTTGTGTTGTTGTCAGAGGCAGCAACAGTGTGTTCATGGCTCTACTCCATATATCTTCTTCATTCCAAGACCCAGGTTGAAGGAACAGCCCATATTTGGGACATGCTATTATTGTGGAAGAGAAAAAAAAAGACATGGCTGAACCTTGCAAATGGTTCTTAATGTTTCTGCTTGTACTTGGCCTAAATCATTCCCATTTAGGTACCATTGGCTAAAACAAGTCATATACCCAAGTCTGGTGTCAGTAATATGGAGAAGTACATCCCTCCTCCAGAGAAACACTGAAAGTCACAGGGTCAAGTTTAGGATGCAAAATTCTTTTACCAGGAGGAGGAGTAAAGAATAATATCCAATCACTATGGACACACTGCCTGTGTGTGAGGCTAGCTCCATCTGCAGAAGGGCTACAGTTAGAAGAGTACCCAGATCTCCTCCAGCAGGAACTTGAGGAGGTGCTGACCTCCTGAAAGGAAGAAACTGAAGGCTTGTGGGAAAAGTGCTGATCTCATGGGAAAAGAATATCTGAAAGAGAATCCTGCCTCAGCCACTCCAACATTTGAAATGGCTTAGGAAAATCATTTCATATTCTGGGCCTCCTCTGGAGTGTCTTTCACTTGCCCATGGCCTTCCTACAAGAATCTACAGGAGTGAGTTCCCAGCAGCAATGTTAGTACATTGTGACCCCACTTCTTGACAATGATTGATTGGATTAGGGGAAGGCTCTTGACCCAGGCTAGTCAAACCAGAGTTCCATCTGTGGCAATGCAGAATCCAAAAAGAGAGGTACAAGTTCAATCTACCCTGTGGTTGGCATAATAACATATGAATTTGGGAGCCTGCCATTTCTCCAACTATATGTACTGAGTAGCTGAGAAAGCCAATCTGCAGAGAAAAATAACTAAAGCTAAGTAGAGAAAAGGGGAGAAAGAAGAGAGGCCACATTGCTTGGGTTCCCTATGGCTTTCTTTGTTGCAGTTGTTGTCATTTTCAGGGCTCTTCCCTGTAACTCATTCATGAACTTCATTTTGATAAGTCACACTTATATCTTATGATGAATTTCTCTATTTAGTTTATACTAGCATTAGTTGGTTTCTGTTGCTTGCAACCAAAGGAACTTGGCGCAATTCACGTTCACCTTTCTGAGCATTAGTTTGTTCACCTGAAAAATTACAATAGTGATGCTGAGTTACAGGATTGTTGAAAGCATCAAATGGATGTGGGAAATGCTGTAAAATGGAATATTATTGCAGGAAAGAGATACCATGGATGGAACAAAATGGCCAAGAGAGAAATTTTGCTCTAAACTTTTTAAATGCTGATTAGAAAAATAATGATAGAAACTAACCAGTAATTTATCAGAATATACCAGACACTGTTTTAAGTATTTCATTCATGTTGACTTCTTTAATATTCACATCAAGTTCATTTTGCACAGGTTTTATTCTTATCTTCCATTATGCAGTTGAGGAAACTAAAATGTAAAGGAGGTTTAATAATAGGATGTAAAAAAAAATTAACTGGGCATAGTGGCGCATGCTTGTATTATCAGCTACTCAGGAGGCTGAGGCAGGAGAATTGCTTGAACCTGGGAGGCGGAGGTTGCAATGAGCCCAGATTGTGCCACTGCACTCCAGCCTGGGCAACATAGCGAGACTCCAACTCAAAAAAATAAAAATAGTAAAAATAATAAGATGTAAAAGGGACCTAAAAGCCAAGGTCACATAATACTAAGTGGCAAAGTAATATTCTTGGCATTTATATCTATTTTCTAATCAGTAAAATGTCACAAATAATAGATATTCCGGGATGGTGCTTTGAGAATAAACTAAGATGTCTTCATGATATATATGGCCCATAATAAGAGATAATTAAATAATCACTTTCATAAGAATACTCATCATAAAGCTATTTCCTTGTTGCATTGCAAATGAAGAAAATAAGACATGAAATTATGAAGAGGTAAATTTCAAATAAATAAAAGGCAATTATGTTTACACAGCAGGAGATGGACTCTTAAAGCCAATTAACCCAAGTGAGGAATAGGCTTGAAAATCTGTAGTACTTACCATGAAACATGGCCTCAGGCAACCTCAGATTAACAGCTCTCTGGCTGACTCTTTCTAGGGCAATGAATACACCCAACTCTGCAGTACCTGTTGTCAATACAATCTGTTTTTTCTTTTATTCTCAGCCTTGAAAATGGCATGTCTCCACTGATATAAAGTAGAGGGAGACAAAGACACTGAGAATTACTATATACTATTGTATCTTGGAGGTTCTGTGGGCATGATGTCATGTTATAAATGAAAAATGGGAGCTCTAAGAGGTAAAGGAACATGGCTTCAGTCTAACAACCAGTCAATGGAAGAGTTGGATTTCAAATACAAGTCTTTACAACCTCAAAGTGCCAGCTTTCCTACCCTCATACCTTGCGATTCCTTGTTAGGTACCTTAGCTGCTTACCAAGTTATCTAATGTCAATAATTCAAAACAACCATAAACATTTATTATCTCACAGCTGCTGTGAGTCAGAAATTCAAGAGCAGCTTAGCCAGGTGGTTCTGGCTTGGGGTTTGTCATGAGGCGACAGCTGAGATATCAGTCAGGTCTACAGTCATCTGAAGGCTTGACTGGGGCTGGAGGATCTGCTTCCAATTGATATGGCTGGCAGTTTGGTGCTGGTTGTAGGAAGGAGGCCTTGGTTCCTCTCCATGTAGGCTTCTCCATAGTTTACTTGTTTCCTCACAGCATGGAGGCTGACTTCCCCCAGAGCAAGCAACTGAAGAGAAACAGTGCCAGGTGGAAGCTATCCTTTTTATGACCTAACCTCAGAAGTCACATAGCATCACTTCCACCACATTTTATTAATTAGAAATAAATCTCTAAGTCTGACCCACATTCATGGGAGGGAAACTAGGTTTTGCCTTTTAAAAGGAGGAGAATTATGGTCTTGATTTAAGACCACCACACTTCGCAACATGAGAATGAACTGGCAGCTCTGTAATGAGTTACCTGTCCTCCGCTTTGAAGGAGTCAGAGGCTTCCAATATGTGTCAGGTTAAAGATCAAAATCCTCAGCATGGCCAACAAGGTCATGCATGCTCTGCCCCTTGCATGCTCTTAGTCTCAAACAAGGTCTTTCCTCACTTTCTATCAACACTTGGACTACTTTTATTTATCCTAAAATGCCACGCTTTTCCCTGCCTGAAGGCCTCTGCAGAGATGTTTGCTTGGCCCTCTGTGTCCTCTCTTGACTTCCTTTTGCCTTGTTAACATTCACACATCCTTCAGATCCTGTCAGAGGCTTTCATAAATCTTTGGATTGTTCTAATAATATTTTTTTCATTTACAGTTAGGTATAGGTGTGATCATTTGACCCATTTGTTTTTCCTACTAGTTTTTAGTCTGTATTGAGACTGCATCTATTTTTTACTCACTGTTATATCCTCAGGATTTTGAATACTGCTGAGCACATAATGTATATTCAATCAACTAAAAATGTGTTGAATGAATGAATGCCTAGACAGCGTTCTTCTCATAGCTGGAGGTGTGCAAACACAAATGGTCCCATCTCTTTACAAGTGTGTTTCAGGGGAGATTTTAGCATCCAATCAGGGTTGACTGGATGACTTTTGAGGTTCCTTTACTTCAGAAGAGTATTTGAAATTCTGTTAGTCTGTGATCCTCTAGTCTCCACTCACTGGCCAGCAAACTCTGCCTCCTTGGCTGACTCACCTGTGGCCCAGCTCTTCCCGCTCCAAAGACACACCCTCTCATGAGGTAGCATATCTTAGGCTGAGCTAAGATAGGGTCACATCAAGCACAAGGAAAGGCTGTTTTGGAAGCCTCTGGGAACAGCTGCCTGGTGCTCTGAGGGGGCGCAAGTGATTGGGTCCTCTGTGACTCCTTTAAGAAACTTTACAAGGTTAAGGTTTGTTCTAAAAATAAGCCCACAAGGCTTTTTTAAAAGCTTCTAAAACCATATGTCCACAACAGCCATTTTTTGAAGGGCCAGTGAGCCTTTAAAACCTTCAAAACCCACTACTTGGCCTGCCTCCCATAGTGGGGAAAGTTCAATATGTGGTGTATTTAAAAACAGACCTGCTTTTAAGTCTTCTAGAATCTGCACCTGAAACATTCTGCTCCTATCAAAGTGGTTCAAGATGGAGATCAGCAAGTATGAGGCTTGTTTCACATTCATCTGGAGGCCACATTCATCCCACAGTGAACAATGACCCCAAATAGCCACAGAACTGCAATTAGTTGCCTGTAGAGAGATTAGTTCAAGTCATTCTTTCCTGTTGACTCTCTTCTCCCATAGATATCTTCATACTATAGCATGTTGTGGACAATTCCATCCAAGTGCATAAGCACACATACACACACACACACACACACACACACACACGAACCATGGTGTGTCCAAGAAAAATGTCCACCCAGATGGAGTGCTTATCTGATTGTCAGTAGCAAGTAGGATGGAGCATTCATGTGTTAAATTGCTTTCTCCCTTTCTTTCTTCTCTCCCTTCCTCCCTCTCTTCCTTCTTTCCTTCCTTCATTTCTTCCTTCCTTTTTCTCTTTCTTTTTTTCACTTCTTTCTTTCCCTTTCATTTTTTGACTAATATAAGAGCCAATCATGTGCCACATACTGAAAATCTACATTTTGATGGGAAGGCAGGGATTAGAGGTTAGTGGGGAGCAGTAGAAAGGATATCTTGATTAATCAGAAATGCACCCTCCCCAAAGACATGTTACGATTTGTAGAGGGTTGGAGAGGGGTGGGGATGTGGTACGCCATATTCCAGGCTCCTTGAATGCTTCAAATCTCAATAAGGAAGTTTTTAAATAGATAAGGAAACTGAGACCCAGAAAGGTTAACAGTATTGTGGATGATCCCTCGGGTCTATTAGCCTCTATGTATACATGTCTTGCTGCTTCCCTAGCAGAAGAAATCTAGCCATTTATAAACAGCTTACCTAGAGTGGGGACAGGGCTCAGTGTTAAGAGAGGTATCAGTATGACATCATATGGGTGTGCAGAGGAAAGCAAAATCCCTTCCAGCTAACAGGACCAGGGAAGGTCCTAATGTAGCTCACTGGGGCCATGGTAAGGTGGATTATCTCTTCCCTAAACCAGAGAGCTCACTTCAGTCTTCTTTCCGTGCAAGTGAAATATCTCCGGTTTCTTAACAAACATCAAAAGTCAGGCTGGGCACAGTGGCTCATGCCTGTAATCCCAGCACTTTGGGAGGTCAAGGCAGGAGGATCACTTAAGGTTAGGAGTTTGAAACCAGCCTGGCCAAGATGGCAAAACTGTCTCTACTAATAACACAAAAATTAGCTGAATGTGGTGGCGGGTGCCTGTAAGCCCAGCTACTCGAGAGGCTGAGGCAGGAGAACCTCTTGAATCCTGAAGGCAGAGGTTGCAGTGAGCTGAGATCATGCCAGTGCAGTCCAGCCTGGGTGACAGAGCAAGACTCCATCAAAAAAAAAAAAAAAAAAAAAAGCCACCCAAGAGAGATGATTGCGTACTTACTTCCACTCAGTTAAAGCATCATCAGAGGGAAGGTACCAATCCTTCTTCTATGACATTTTGACAGATTCTCACCCAGCTTGTGCTCACATCCCCAGTGACAGAGACCTTACTACCTCATAAGGTAAGACAGTTCTGGGCAATTTAGACTATTACTGACTTATTCTCTCTGTCAAGCCACAATCTGTCTCCCTGTGTTTCCACCCACTGGTTCTATATTCTGCAGTT
This sequence comes from Homo sapiens, assembly GCF_000001405.40. Taxonomy (NCBI): domain Eukaryota; kingdom Metazoa; phylum Chordata; class Mammalia; order Primates; family Hominidae; genus Homo; species Homo sapiens. The sequence goes on from NC_000001.11 coordinate 59,196,830, forward strand.
GGAACATCAAACTGGTTGACTCCTATGATCATAATAGCCCTACAATACATGAAGACACTTTTCACTTGCTCCCTGGATGCTTCTCTTCACCAAACTAGACATCCCTGATTCATCCTGGTATAAAGAGGTAGTATGATGAGGTAGAAAGTACATTGATTCCAGAAAGGGACTTAATATTAGAGGCATGAATCCTGGCTTCACCACTTAAGAATTATAGATCTTTGGGCAATTGATTTCACCTCATGAAGCTTTAGTTTCCTTATCTGCAAAACAGTGATAATAGTATCTATCATAGAGGGCTACTGCAGAGATAAATTGAAATAATCTATGTGAAACTATTATCAGAATGCCTGGAGTAAAGGAAGCATATAGAAGATGTTACCTAGTGTCAGAGGGAAATCCTGAGAATTGAAGTATTTCTTCCGTTTGGGTGCAGAAAACAATGAGCGGAGAACTCACTTCAAAGAATCATGGCACTGAACAGGTTCTTGGGAACCCACAGCAGTTGTGTGTGGACTGAAAGTCTCAGGTGCATTCTTTGTTTTTTTTAATTTTTTGAGACGGAGTCTGGCTCTTGTCCCCCAGGCTGGAGTGCAATGGCACGATCTCGGCTCACTGCAACCTCCACCTCCTGGGTTCAAGCGATTCTCCTGCCTCAGCCTCCCAAGTAGCTGGGACTACAGGCGCCCTCCACCATGCCCAGCTAATTTTTGTATTTTTAGTAGAGACGGGGTTTCATCATGTTGGCCAGGCTGGTCTCGAACTCCTGATCTCGTGATCCGCCCACCTCGGCCTCCCAAAGTGCTGGGATTACAGGCATGAGCCACCGCACCCGGCCAAGTCTCAGGTGCATTCTGAACTAGCCCCAAGAGCAGAGATTCTCAAATTTTAGCATCCACCATAATCTCTTGGAGGGCTTGTTAAAACAGAGTGCTGGGACCACCCTCAGAGTTTCTGATTCAGTGAGTCTGGGGTGGGACCTGAGAATCTACATTTCTCACAGTTCCCCAGATAAAGCTGATGCTGCTGGTCCAGGGACCACACTTTGAGAGCCACTGTCCTGGAGCTTAAGAGGAGATATGTAAGAAGTTCACAAAAATTTTCCTGAGCACTGTGCATGTGCATTTTATATCTTATCTCAACCAGCCCCCCAAACAGTCCTTCAATGGACCTATGTAATCACTTCCTCTCTAGAGAAGAAGAAATTAACATTGGAGGTTCATTAACTTGCCCTTTTGACACAGTCAGTAGTGGAGCTGAGGTTGAAATCCAACACTGACTGCCTCAAAATCTGTGCTCCTAATGCCCATTTAGCAAAGGAGTAGACTGAGGCACAGAGAGGTTAGATCTTACCTAGGTCACATATGTAATAGGTAGTTGAATTGGTTTTTAATCCAGGTCTGTCTGACTTCAAAATCCAAGCCCTGAACACAAGCTTCTGTATGATAAAGAGTATGTTGAAGGCCATATTCATTCCAGCTTGGAGCCTCGACGTGTACCCTGGTACATGATTTTCATTTTGTCCTTTCCTCTTTGCTTGACTTCTTTAGGTAATTGACTTCTTTCTTGAGGTACTTGATGGGGCAAACCTGGTCTTCCTGGTGCTCGAATGACCACAGAAGGAGAATAACTTAGAACAGGCAGTTCTTCATTCTTCCTCAGCTGGTGTTTTTCCTTCAGCGTCTGGAAAGAAATTTGGCCTCTGCACACTTTAAATTGGACTATCAATTACTTGTGTTTTGAATATGCAGAGCTCATTAGGGCTGTGTTGGCGGCAGGAGAGCACCTGGACAGGGAAAAGTAAACTTGCCTCAGCTATTTCAATCTGTGCCGCCCCTCCGGAGTGGAGCCCAGACTCAGGTTGCCAGGCAGTAATGCAACCACTTATTTCTGTCCTCAGTTACTAGGTCATAAATCCTGCCCTGGCACGAAGTCCCTGATTTCTTATGGAAGAAGGTTTAGTTTTAGGAATGACTCTGCTTTCTCAGCATGGGGTTGTACAGACATGCAGTGGTTAGGACTCTTGGACTTGAAGTCAGAGTGTTGCTGAGACCTCATTATGGCCCTGTCAATAACCAGCTGCATGTAACCATCACATTCTAATTCTATTCCTCAGCTATAAAATGGGGCCAAGTACCTCCCAAGTTTTGCTCAAGTGACACTTGTTTGAGAAAAGAGGTTAGGCATCTGTAAGAGACAACTGAGGATAGTTGGGTTTATGTGAAGTCCCTGGTTTGGTTTTCTAAAGGGAAAGTGCATATAGAATCCCATACTCTTTTCTGCTCTGGGGCCTTTGCACATACCTTACCCAGAATGTTCTTCCTTCAGCCCTTTGTATACCTGAATTATTCACACTCTTCTCTTCAAATATCACCTTTTCAAAGATGCTTTCCCCAGTATCCTATCCAAAGCTTCCTTTTCTCTCTGTGTCCCAGTTACTCTCTAAAACACCACCCTCTTTCTATCCTTTTCAACATAAAACACAACATGTGCTTATCTTGTTTATTTCTTTGATTGCATGATTGTTATCTAATGATTTCATGTGCTACCAGGTTGTTTATATGCGACCTTCTGAATGAGCATTTGCCTGCCCTCTCAGTGAACTGCACTCTCCTGAGATTGAAAGGCCCGCTCTTTAAAAGCTGTCTTGTAACTGCTCATCTGGGCAATTCAGGTTTTTCAAACTGAACCACCAAAACAAAATGCAGAAGAAAATTGAGTGCTCTGGGTGACACCTGATCTAAAGGTCTTGTATTCTTTAATCTAGCTTTATTGTTTTTATTCATGGTCATTACGTGCTATAAATTTGATCTATTGTTTTAAAAATAAGTAGCAGGGAAAATAAAATGAAAAAAGATAATCCTTGCTTTGAAGGAACTCAGTCTAAGAGGCGAGATACACAAAGTAGCAGACAATCACAGGGCAATTTGGTAAGTTTGCTGATAAGCGTAGCAAAACTACATAGAGACTTTCAAGGTGAAGAAGCATGGAAAAAAATAGCATGAGCAAAGGCAAAGGTGAGAAACAGCATGGCATGGTCAGAGACTTACAAGTAGCTCAGTGTCTGCTCAGTGTAGTGGAGGGAAATGGAAAGGAATGTGTTTCAACAGGTCATCAGGAGCAGATGAACAAATACCTCCAGGCCTCACCTCTCCATCGTTACTTTGGGTTAGGGCTGTTTGTTTACTTGTGTATAGTCTGGATTCCAGCTTCTGGGTCTGCAGTACCAAGAAGAGTGCCTGCCCAGAATCAATACTTGGTTATTTGTGGAATGAGTTTTGAATAAAAGGACCAGTTCTCAGGGTTTAGGGAACAGGTGCAATGAAGGCAGCAGGTGGCAGAGATATCTGCATGTTTGGCGACAGGGACAACCATACTGGGGAGAGATGAAAGGAGTTTGCACTTTGATTGATGTGTAAATACTTCACAAGACTTGGCCCAGCAATTTGGCCAAAATAGCACTGAATGTAGAATAATAATCCTAGCTTTACAGGTCATAATCAAATATCATTAAAATCTTGTAGATAACACAGAATAAAGGAAAGTTAGAGCTATGATTTTGTAATTCCCCCCAAATGTTATTATTATATATATCAGCGTCTAGGTTCAGTTGTCTACCACAATTTAATGGCTTTACTAATAAACAACTAAATGAACAAAAGGATCTTTTGGTAACGAAGGTTAAAAATTCAGGATTTGGAATCAAATAGATTCAATTTCTGAATACAGTTTTGCCACCTTCCATGTGACTTTGAGACAAGCTAACCTTTCTGACTTTCAGGTGTTCTTTCCATAAAATAGGCTGAAAATACAAATTTTATTGTGGTAATTAAGTGATGTATGTTTCTATTATCTGCTGCTGCCTATCAAACCACCCTAACATTTAGTGGCTGAAAACAACAATGAATGATTAGCTCTCACAGTTTTGTGGGTTGGCTGAGCTCAGCCAGGCAGTGCTTGCTTAGAGTCTCTCAGGTAGTTGCAGTCAGATGTTGGCTGGGGCTGAAGTCATCTGAAGGCTCAACTGAGCTACATGTCCAAGATGGTGCACTCATCTGGCTGGCAGTTGGTGCCAGCCGGGAGATCAGCAAGGCCTACGAACTGAGGCACTTAAACATGGCCATTCTATGTGTCATGGATTGGGTTGCCCAAAGCACTGGGGCTGAGTTCCAAGGAATAGTATTACAAAGACCCACACGAAAGCTTCAGCTTCTTGTGAGCTTGCCCTGGCTCACAGATCATTATTTTTCCCACGTTCTGGTGGTCAGGTAAGTCACTGAAGCCAGCCCAGAGTCAAAGGGAAGACTTAAGTTAACTTCACCTCTTGATGTAGGAACTGGGAGCAGTCATCTGTGGATACTACCAACCACAAAGCACATGGCATACCATACACACAATGAATATCAGTTCACTCTGCCCAATTTTTACTTTAACTCATTACTTTTAAAAAACCTTCAAATATGTATTTTTAGAAAGTTCAAGCTGAGCAAAATTGGACTTTAAAAATGGTCTAAGAGAGTCTTTTCTTATTCTACAGATGGGAAAACTGGAGCCCAAAGGATGGAAATACTGAACCCATGGGCTCTGTCACTAGACTGCATCCCAGGGCCTCAACATAATATATTCTTAGTAAGTATTTGGTCATGAAGCAAATAGTTCTGCAATTTCTTTGCTGTTTTAAAGTATTTCCACATATACTACTGAAAGGTAAAGTGAGAGAATGGAAAGTTCCCAGATTTTGAAATGAATAGATTTGAATTAGAATTCTAGCTCTTTTTACTTCATGATTTCAGGCAAGTTGGTTAACTTCACTTAGCCTCAATTTTTCTAACTCTAAAGAAAGTCTAATAAAACATAGATTACCAGGACACTGTGTGTGCTGAGGTCAAATAGCTGATACAAAACAAATGCTCAGTTTTGGCAGCCATTTTTATTTTTTAAGTTTCACAAAAGCCCTGTGAGGTGGGCATTGGAGTCCCACTTTACAGATTGGAAAACTGAGCTTTAGAAAGAGTGGGTGGTTTGTTTTGTATCACACAGCTAGCAAATGGCAGCTGGAAGATTCGAAATTGAGCTTTGATTCAACTGGGGAAGTACCTTCCTACCAATCAACCCCACACCCACCTTCACGGTCTTCTTTAAGAAGCAGAACAGAGATCCTGGGTAGAAACAATTTTCTAAGCAAATTCATATTCAGGATTTTTTCCATGAAGGGAAAGAAAATTTCCATATATCATAGTCTGCCCAATAATCTAACACTTTAGAATTTTTAGTTTCCATGTTTCTTTGATCTTCAATAGCACATGAGATAGGAAAGGCAAAGATTATCATGACTATTATATAGATGAGAAAATTGAGGCTTAGTTTTAGCAAAAGGACTATGGCTATATGACTATGCTGGGAAGAGAGTGCTGATCATACTCTTTGCCATTGGATACATAGGAAATGAAAAATTAAAGGGAGCACAGAAAATTTTGACTATAATCCTTTCATCCTCATTAAACTGGTATCATAACTACCTTTGATAAGCCAGTTGTGAACCTTGTCAAAAACTACAACAGCCCTGGAGGGAAGGACATAAACAGTGGGTAATTAGAACAAGAGTGAGGCAGAAACCATAGGGGGAGGAAAAGGAAACTAGCTACTCAATGGACAGGCTCTGGCCAGCCCCCAAAGGAGCTGCCCTCCTTAATCCACTGCGCAGGGAAGGATTACTCCCTGGTCCCCCACCCACCCACTCACCCACCCCTTTTAATTGCTGATCCCACTCTTCATGCAGATGTTAACATCTGCCCCTGAACTCAACAAGGGGCCAGTCATTGGAAAGAAGACTACTCCCATCTGTGCATGGCACAGGTTTTAGAAAGGTTATTTGGAAATATGTGCTCTAGGTCCCATGAGAGAGTGACTTGAGAGGAAAAGTATTTTTTGTTGTTTTTGCTGATTGTTTTTTGGGTTGCTTTCCTCCCCATCTACCACCCCTTCCCCTACTACCAAGAAAATGCACTTGAGAATCTCCCTTTTCCCACCCTTTTTCCTCAAAGCAAAATCAGTAATTTCAACAGTTTCCCATTTTCAAAAGGTGAAAAAGCAGAATGATGGCCAGGCGAGTTCTCTGGCTAGGAAGAAGCCCAGCTGGTATACACCATTTTTCTGCACTTCCCCTGGGCAGCCAGATGACTAGGATTCAAGGACCAGCCTACCACTTTCTAAGCTGTTTGCCTTGGACAAATGACTTATTGCCTCTGAACTTCACTTTACTCACCTGTAAAATGAGGAGACTCCAGAAGAATGAGAAGATTCCATGAGATGACTCTAGCAGATCCATTTCAGAAAATACTCTGCGTGTGAAGTTATTACAAGGAACTTGGCAGGCACACTCCCCTTCACCTATGGGGCTTTTCTTTTTTCTTCCATGAGAGCTTCTACCCAGATATGCAGATAGAAGAAATGTATTGGTCCCAAAGACAACAATGTCTGTGAAGCAGGATTCAAAGAGATGAAGGGAGGGGAGAACAAGCCTTTCAAATTATAGCAAGTGGGTGGTCTTCAACTGCTTTTACTTCTTTTTAAAATTCCAGATCATACTGGGGTAACCTATTAGAAAGAACCCTGTCCTGGAATCCTGGAAAAGAGGCCCTGCTAGGAGCTGACCTTGGACAAATCACTCCCTTCTCTGAACCTCACTGTTCAGGGGGCTGAGAACAGAGGGTCCCTAAGGAAGAGTGTTGTATGAGAACAGTCTCCGCTCTTGACCCAAGCAAACCTGGCTTCAAATCTCAACTCCTGTGGCTGACTAGCTGTATGACCTTGACCTTTCTCAGTTTCCTCATCTATAAAGCAGGATTAATAAAAGGTACCTATCTAATATGACTGTTCTGAGAATAAAATGAAATAAACTACATAGGTGATTTGACATTGTGCTTGGTTTACAGTAGGTGTTTAATAAAAGGAAATTGCTATATTATTAAAACTGTCATCATCATTATTGTTGTTAGTCTATAACTGTTGGAATTTCAAAAAGGCTCTACTCCTGAGTTTTTTGTGCTCTTTAAGTTGAGGTCAGTCTCAGCAAGGTGTGTTCTGAATGGCTACATTCTCCCCAAGGGTCACACACCACCACCAGAGAGGGTGTGCATCCCATCTGGTGCACAACTTAAGAAGGGAAATCATGCCTTCCTGTGTCCTTTCTCCAGAGCCTCCTGTCTTCCTCCTAGCATTGCTCTGCTGGCCCAGGTTTAAGAGCTGGAGCTGCTGTGCTATGGGCTTACACTGGTCAGGCAGCCAGGAGGAAGAGGAAACCAGAATAAACATGTTTTGCAAGACCAAGTCTGGTTTAAATGAAAGCAATTCTAAATAAGGACAATACAGTCTTATAGAGCCAGTGCCTGGGCCGCCTGTTGGCAGTTTCCTCTACAGAGGGGTTTGCCATGGAAAACCAAAGGTCAGACTGATAAGCTGAAACTGCCTGCAGCCAGGCTGGCAGGAGGCTCATGACAAGACCTCCTCATCCAGCATTTGAATCCATCCCAGGCCAGAGGATGTGATTACAGAGGCAGGGAATCCAAGGACCCAGTCTGGCCTCCAATCCTAGCTCCTCACTCACTCTCTATTGTAAACTAAGGCAATGATAAACATTGCCTATCTATCAAAAAAGAAGAAAAAAGAAAATTGTTCTGGGTTCCTATGAAAATAAAAAGAGATATTATGTCAACGTGGTTATAAACTGTAAAGTGATTAGCAAAGCTCAAGAGTTAGAAATAGGTTTTAATAGTTCCCCTGCCTGCTAGCTGTGTGACCCTGGGCAAGTCCATTTATTTTTCTGAAACTCAATTTCCTGTTTTGTGTGTTTCATATTTGTCCTGAATTCTAATGATTCCAGGATTCATCAAAACAGGAAAGTATAATAACTTGGTTTGTTAGTTTCCTGTGGCTGCTGTAACAAATTACCACAAACTTGTTGGTTTAAAACAATAGAAATGTATTCTCTCATTGTTCTGGAGACCAGAAATCAGTTTCACTAGTCCAAAATGAGAGTGTCTTCCCAGATACTCTAGGGGAAAATCTGTGCCTTGCCTTTCCCAGCTTCTGGTGGCTGCCAGCATTTCTTGGCTTGTGGCTGCATCACTTTGACCTCTATCTCCATGTTCAAGCTGTTTTCTCTTCTGTGTGTAGTCAAGTCTCCTTCTGCCTCTCCCATATAAAGACAATTGTGATTTCATTTAGGACCAATCTGGGTGATCCAGAACTAACTCCTCATCTCAAGACCCTTAACTTAAATCTACAAAGTCTTTGCTAACAAGGTAACTTACAGGTCCCACAGATTAGGACTTGATATCTTGGAGTTCCATTATGCACCCTTAATGAACTTTCCTTTGATTATTAAAGAGATGGAGAGTCTCAGAAGGATCTCATCATTTAAAAAAATCTCGAGATGGAAGCTGAGAATCAGGAAGGGACTATTGAAGCATGTCAGAAATAATGTTGAAATTCTTTATATTATCATGCCTTGAAGAGAACCCCATCTTAGTTATCTCTTTATCCCAACCAAGAGACCTAGCAGAAATACTCAAAAAATAAATGAATGGATGTATGGAAATATATGCATATATTTGCACTTCATCTTGAGTATGGCAGAGTGGTTGTGTAAACAGATTGAAATTAGATGACCTGAGTGAAACCCTTGCTAGTTGTAAGACTTTTGACAAGTTATTTAATCTGAGAGGCTTTAGTGTTCTCCCATATAAAATAAAAATAATTGTATGATCTACCTGATAGAATTTTGCAAGGATAAATGAGGTGATCTGTGTAAAGGAATTTGCACAGTACCTGGCATGTGATAACTTTTATATATTAATTAGATATTATTAACTTTAAAAGTTCAAGTTTAACATATCATTTGTATATACCAAGAATTGGCTAATTTTGGAGGAGAGGGGAAGATGACTAATTTAGGGAGAAATAAGGGGACTAGAAATATATTTTCAGACTTACGCTAAACAATTCCACGAATTGTTTTCCATTCCATCTTCAACCCAGATTCTACCAAGACCAAGAATGAGTTTTGTCTCTAGGTTTTATTCCTTGGTAAAAGACTTCGATGAACTGAAGTCTTTATTTTAGGAATCACTTCATGCAATAAATATATTCTGAGTACCTATGACCAAGAACCTTTCTGAACTCTCTTCTTCTGGAATGCTAGGAATAAGGCAAAGGCTGGACTAGACATTAAGAGTGCCATAGGTCCACAGCTACTGTATGGTATGGCTCTAAACCACAATTATGGCTCAGGTGGTCAGATGGACTTGGGTGAGGACAAGATTGGCAAATGAAAGAATCGTATCTTCAGGAGTGGCTGGCAACATGGCCGAATAGGAACAGCTCCGGTCTGCAGCTCCCAGCAAGATCAGTGCAGAAGGTGGGTGATTTCTGCATTTCCAACTGAGGTACTCGGCTCATCTCATTGCAACTGGTTAGACAGTGGGTGCAGCCCATGGAGGGCGAGCCAAAGCAGGGTGGGGCGTTGCCTCACCTGGGAAGCACAAGGGTTGGGGAACTCCCTCCCCTAGCCAAGGGAAGCCATGAGGGACTGTGCGGTGAGGACAGGTGCATTCTGGCCCAGATACTACGCTTTTCCCATGGTCTTAGCAACCTGCAGACCAGGAGATTCCCTCGGTGCCTACACCACCAGGGCCGTGGGTTTCAAGCACAAAACTGGGTGGCCCTTTGGGCAGACACCAAGCTAGCTGCAGGGTTTTTTTTTTTTTTCATACCCCAGTGGCACCTGGAATGCCTGTGAGACAGAACCTTTCACTGCCCTGGAAAGGGGGCTGAAGCCAGGGAGCCAAGAGGTCTAGCTCAGCAGATCCCAGCCCCACAGAGCCGAGCAAGCTAAGATCCACTGGCTTGAAATTCTTGCTGCCAGCACAGCAGTCTGAAGTCAACATGGGACCCTTGAGATTGGTGGGGGAAGGGGCGTCTGGCATTACTGAGACTTGAGTAGCAGTTTTCCCCGCACAGTGTAAACAAAGCCACCAGGAAGTTCGAACTGGGAGGAGCCCACCACAGCTCAGCAAAGCCACTGTAGCCAGACTGCCTCTCTAGATTCCTCCTCTCTGGGCAGGACATCTCTGAAAGAAAGGCAGAAGCCCCAGTCAGGGGCTTTTAGATAAAATTCCCATCTCCCTGGGACAGAGCACCTGGGGGAAGGGGCAGCTGTGGGCGCAGGTTCAGCAGACTTAAACGTTCCTGCCTGCTGGCTCTGAAGAAAGCAGCGGATCTCCCAGCACAGCACTTGAGTTGTGCTAAGGGACAGACGGCCTCCTCGAGTGGGTCCCTGACCTTCGTGTCTCCTGACTGGGGGACAACTCCCAGCACGGGTCGAGAGACACATGATACAGGAGAGCTCCGGCTGGCATCTAGCACAAGTCCCTCTGGGACGAAGCTTCCAGAGGAAGGAACAGGCTGCAATCTTTGGGGTTCTGCAGCCTCCCCTGGTGATATCCAGGTAAGCAGGGTCTAGAGTGGACCTCCAGCAAACTCGAGCAGACCTGTAGCAGAGGGGTCTGCCTGACTGTTAGAAGGAAAACTAACAAACAGAAAGGAATAGCATCAACATCACCAAAAAGAACGACCACATGAAAACCCCATCTGAAGGTAACCAACATCAAAGACCAAAGGTAGATAAATGCGCGAAGATGAGGAAAAACCAGCATAAAAAGGCTGAAAATTCCAAAAACAAGAATGCCTCTTCTCCTCCAAAGGATCACAACTCGTTGCCAGCAAGGGAACAAAACTTGACAGAGAATGGGTTTGACGAATTGGCAGAAGTAGGCTTCAGAAGGAGGGCAATAACAAACTCCTCCAAGCTAAAGAAGCATGTTCTAACCCAATGCAAGGAAGCTAAGAACCTTAAAAAAAGGTTAGAGAAATTGCTAACTAGAATAACCAGTTCAGAGAAGAACATAAATGACCTGATGGAGCTGAAAAACACAGCACGAGAACTTCATGAAGCATACACAACTATCAGTAGCCGAATCGATCAAGTGGAAGAAAGATTATCAGAAATGAATGATCAACTTAATGAAATAAAGTGTGAAGACAAGATTAGAGAAAAAAGAATGAAAAGGAATGAACAAAGCCTCCAAGAAATATGGGACTATGTGAAAAGACCAAGCCTACCTTTGGTTGGTGTACCTGAAAGTGATGGGGAGAGTGGAACCAAATTCAGAGCCGAATTCTACTAGAGGTACAAAGAAGAGCTGGTACCATTCCTTCTAAAAATATTCCAAACACTAGAAAAAGAAGGACTCCTCCCTAACACATTTTATGAGGTCTGCATCATCCTGATACCAAAACCTGGCAGAGACACAACAAAAAAAGAAAATTTCAGGCCAATATCCCTGATGAACATTGATGCAAAAATCCTTAATAAAATACTGGCAAACCAAATCCAGCAGCACATCAAAAAGCTTATCCACCATGACCAAGTCGGCTTCAGCCCTGGGATACAAGGCTGGTTCAGCATATGCAAATCAGTAAACATAATCCATCACATAAACAGAACCAATGACAAAAACCACATGATTATCTCAATAGATGCAGAAAAGGCCTTTGATAAAATTCAACACCCCTTCATGCTAAAAACTCTCAATAAACTAGGTATTGATGGAATGTATCTCAAAATAGTAAGAGCTATTTATGACAAACCCATAGCCAATATCATACTGAATGGGCAAAAGGTGGAAGCATTCCCTTTGAAAACCAGCACAAGACAAGGATGCCCTCTCTCACCACTCCTATTCAACATAGTATTGGAAGCTCTGGCCAGGGCAATCAGGCAAGAGAAAGAAATAAAGGATATTCAAATAGGAAGACAGGAAGTCAAATTGTCTCTGTTTGCAGATGACATGATTGTATATTTAGAAAACCCCATCGTCTCAGGCCCAAATCTCCTTAAGCTGATAAGCAACTTCAGCAAAGTCTCAGGATACAAAATCAATGTGCAAAAATCACAAGCATTCCTACACACCAATAATAGATGAACAGCCAAATCATGAGTGAACTCCATTCACAATTGCTACAAAGAGAATTAAATACCTAGGAATACAACTTACAAGGGATGTGAAGGACCTCTTCAAGGAGAACTACAAACCACTGCCCAAGGTAATAAGAGAGGACACAAACAAATGGAAAAACATTCCATGCTCATGGATAGGAAGAATCCATATCATGAATATGGCCATAATGCCCAAAGTAATTTATAGATTCAGTGCTATCCCCATCAAGCTACCATTGACTTTCTTCACAGAATTAGAAAAAACTACTTTAAATTTCATATGGAACCCAAAAAGAGCCTGTATAGCAAAGACAATCCTAAGCAAAAAGAACAAAGCTGGAGGTATCACGCTACCTGACTTCAAACTATACTACAAGGCTACAGTAACCAAAACAGCATGGTACTGGTACCAAAACAGAGATATAGGTCAGTGGAACAGAACAGAGCCCTCAGAAATAACACCACACATTTACAACCACCTGATCTTTGACAAACCTGACAAAAACAAGAAATGGGGAAAGGATTTCCTATTTAATAAATGGTTTTGGGAAAACTGGCTAGCCATATGCAGAAAACTGAAACTGGACCACTTCCTTATACAAAAATTAACTCAAGATGAATTAAAGACTTAAACGTAAGACCTAAAACCATAAAAACCCTAGAACAAAACCTAGGCAATACCATTCAGGACATAGGCATGGGCAAAGACTTCATGACTAAAACAACAAATGCAATGGCAACAAAAGCCAAAATTGACAAATGGGATCTCATTAAACTAAAGAGCTTCTGCACAGCAAAGGAAACTATCATCAGAGTGAACAGGCAAACTACAGAATGGGAGAAAATTTTTGCAATCTATTCATCTGACAAATAACTAATATCCAGAATACACAAGGGACTTAAGCAAATTTACAAGAAAAAACAAACAATCCCATCAAAAACTGGGCGGAGGATATGAACAGACACTTATTTTATTTATTTACTTTTTTTGAGATGGAGTCTCGCTCTGTTGCCCAGGCTGGAGTGCAGTGACATGATCTTGGCTCACTGCAAGCTCCACCTCCTGGATTCTTGCCATTCTCCTGCCTCAGCCTCCCGAGTAGCTGGGACTACAGGAACCTGCCACCACGCCTGGCTAATTTTTTGTATTTTTTAGTAGAGACGGGGTTTCACCATGTTAGCCAGGATGGTCTCTATCTCCTGACCTCATGATCCGCCAACCTCAGCTTTCCAAAGTGCTGGGATTACAGGCGTGAGCCACTGTGCCCATCCCAGACACTTCTGAAAAGAAGACATTTATGCGCCCAACAAACATATGGAAAAAAAGCTCATTATCACTGGTCATTAGAGAAATGCAAATCAAAACCACAATGAGATACCATCTTATGCCAATTAGAATGACAATCATTAAAATGTCAGGAAACAACAGATGCTGGAAAGGATGTGGAGAAATAGGAACTGTTTTACACTGTTGGTGGGAGTGTAAATTAGTTCAACCATTGTGGAAGACAGTGTGGCAATTCCTCAAGGATCTAGAACCAGAAATACCGTTTGACCCAGCAATCCCATCACTGGGTATATACCCAAAGATTTATAAATCATTCTGCTATAAAGACACATGCACATGTATGTGTATTGCAGCACTGTTCGCAATAGCAAAGACTTGGAACCAACACAAATGCCCATCAATGACAGACTGGATAAAGAAAATGTGGCACATAAACACCATGAAATACTATGCAGCCATAAAAAAGGAGGAGTTCATGTCCTTTGCAGGGATATTCATGAAGCTGGAAGCCATCATTCTCAGCAAACTAACAAAGGAACAGAAAACCAAACACCACATGTTCTCACTCATAAGTGGGTGTTGAAAAATGAGAACACATGTACACAGGGAGGGGAAGGCCACATACCAGGACCTGTCGGGGGTGGTGGCCTAGGGGAGGGATAGCATTAGGAGAAATACCTAATGTACATGACGGGTTGATGGGTGCGGCAAACAACCATGCCTCGTGTATACCTATGTAACAAACCTGCACCTTCAGCACATGTATCCCAGAACTTAAAGTAAGGTAAAATAGTGTACCTGAATCAAAAAAAAAAAAAAAGAAAAAAAAAGAAAAGAAAAGAAAAGAAAGAATAGTATCTTCATCAAGGAGAACTAGAAAAGATAGCAAAACCTAGATACCAAATCCCAAGGGAACAGAAGGCCTTAGAAATGACAAGAAGTTGGATGAGATGAAGCACCTGGAATTGATGTTGTTGTTGTTGTGTGGCTTTTTATGTGCTTGATTTGTTTGAAAGAGCAGGCTGCATTTAAAGGACTTATTTTTCAAGATTGTATGCTCTACCAAGAAAACAGACATGTACACAATGAATTTAAGACGCACTATAAAAAAATGTCATTTTAGAGATGCAATAGGGCAAGGATAAAAAGCAAAAAAAACCCAGCTCAAAAAGAGAGAAAGAGGATGAGTTAGCGAGAGTGTTCCAAAGAAAGTTACACTGTTTCTTGTAACCTTTCAAACCATCCTTTGAAGAATCAAATATGAGAGACCTCGAGAGATCATCTGACTTACACTTCTGCCTTCAGGGGCCTGGTTATCCCCATTTTATAGATAACATTGCTGAGGTGCAAAGAAGCACAGGAAATGGTGTTGGAGTGAAAATGATACAAAGGTCTTTCTGCTTCTTGGTACTGTTTCCTTCAAGACGGGATAAATAAGGAGAAAATACAAATTTTAAAATCATAATTGTTAGATCCCTTGTCTCAGCTAAAGTATAATTTGAGGGTGACAGAAAAGACAAATAAAAATGAGATAAACAGATAGAAATGTATTTCTGTGTTGTATAAAAGAAATTTAGAGATACTTGTAGACAAATGTTTGTATTTCACAATACCTAAAATGTGGAAACAACCCAAACGTCCAACAAATTAATGGATGATCAAAAGGTGGTATATTTATACCATGGAATATTATTCAGCCATAAAAAATGAACAAAGTACTGATATGTGATATAATGTGGATGAGCCTCAAAAACATGCTAACTAAAAGAAAACAAACTCAAATGGTCACATATCATAAAATTCTGTTTGTATGAAATGTCTATCATTGGCAAATCCATAGAGACCCTGGAATTGAACAGAGGTGACATCTGTACAGTATAGTACATACATTAAATGCACTGGATTGTGCACTTTGAAATGGTTAATGGTTAATTTTATGTTATGTAAATTTTACCTCAATTAAAAGAAATCCAGAGGTGAGAAATCAGAACTGACAGGCAGCTTTCTGAAAACGTTGGGGCAGGGGGCATCCAGGCTCTTTCTGTCTCGAAATTCTGCCATCAACAGGTTTTAGCTTCTACCTCATGGTCCAAAATGGCTGCTCAGACTCTAAGAATAGCAATTGCATTTCAGCCATCAGGGAGGAAAAAATAACAACATGGGGAATGAGGGAAGGATTCTGAAGAAGTGCCGTAAAAATTGAGATTTTGAAGAATGTGAGGGAATTAGCCAAGGGAAGAACGGCAAGGAAGAGCTTCCCAGAAAAAGAAGTGAGAGGGTGCAGGTCTCAGTTCTGAGAGGGTGGTGGGTGGAGGAACCAAGAGAAGCCCAGCAGGGCTGGCACATGGGGAGTGAGGGGAAGAGGTAGGCATGGACTGGATGACCCAGCCAGCAATAGACCCTGTCTGGCTCTGAAAATCTATTACATTTCCTCTCACCATCTTAGTTCTTGGTCATTTTTACCACACTATACTTCTGAGCCTTAAGGAAATTGATTCAATTAAAAAAAAAACTGAATGAGAAAAGAGTTTGGAGATGGCCTTTGGTATGCATAAAAGCACACATTTTATCTTCCAGGCAAGTACATTTTGAAGTTATTTACCTCTCAAAGACAGCTGCCAAGGACCCTATGATTCAAGGGTTCTCTCCTGCCTCCTGACAGCGTGTTTTACTGCTGCCCTTCCAGAGGTCTTCTGCACTGTCTCCCTCTTTCAATGACCTCATTCTCAGTGCCAGTGAGAGCCAAGGTAAATCGTGCAGACTTACAATCAGGGCCAGCAGCTGAGATGTGAACTGGCCATTTGTCTCCCCAGGACCCAGGGGAATGGCATTTGGTAGAATGAGGAGGAGGAAGCTACTGCCTTAGGTCACCCATGCCCACTACTCTTTTTGTTTTGGCTTTGACAGGATCTTTAATTTTATGTGCCGGGGGCACAGCTGGGGCTAGCCTGCCCTGGCTGAACCTTGTAGGGCTGAGGAGAGAAAGCAAGGACTTGCTGAGCTCATCTGGGGCTCTAGGACACTTTGGCATGCCCTGAAGATGTCACAGTTTGTTGTGATGACCAAGAATGGCTGAGCTGGAGGACTGGAGTCTTGGATAGGTAATAAGATTTTCCCAAGGGCAGACATTGAGGTTTGAGGTACCCTGGTCAGCTCAAGAGTTGCAGGTGATATCATTAAATGTTTTTTTGTACTAACCCAAGAGAACTCCCTCCAAATTGCTGGATTTTCACCAGAAAATTTGAAGACAGAGGATTAAAGAAGAAATAAGCATGCAAAAATCAATAGAGGATGAAGACTCTATTGGGGCTATGTATAAGACAGTGTTTTCCAGTGAGCTCTCATCTGAGAATAATAGCTTCTACCAGTTGATTGCTAACCATGTGTTTAATCCTAAGTGCATTATATGTTTAAATTCATTTTGTCATTGGCACAATACTGTAAAGTATTATGATTGTCTCCATTTCACCAGTTGGAAACTAAGGCTTAACAGGTGATGGGACTTGCTCAAAGTCACCCAGCTATTAAGAGATGGAACCAATATCAAAACCCAGTTATGTATATCCTCAAGGTCCATGTTCTTAGTCAATATCCTTTACTATTTCCCTTTAAACTCTACTAACCAGCATTCCTCTCTTCAGGTAGACATAAAATCATTTTTCATAGTGCTGGAAGAGATTTGAAGAACTCACCAAATTCCCATTTGATTAAAAATAGAAACAGGGTAGCTGAAGACCTGCGATGAAGGTTGTCAATTGACAGAAGGTCAAGGAGAAGCACAGCCTTCTACCTCCTGCCACCTCACAGTGGTCTGCAAAGCTCCTGATATAGGCTGGGTAGTTTCCATTCACTCCTGCAAATTCACTCTCCAGCCTCAGTCTCTGTGGGGCCCAGTAGCCTACCACCCATACACCACATCAACTTTCTGGATTCCAGTCCAATTTGGCATAGGGAAGGCATCCTCAAGAGAGCTGAAGGCAAGAGAGAGAGAGGTTAGGGTCTGTATTCCCTGGTCTCCTTGTGTGGGGCCACAGGTTCTCAGTGGCCATGTTCCTCTAACAAAGGCCTTGACTCCCATCAGGCAGTCCTCTGCCAAATCGCCAGCATAGCTCTTGTGCTCTCTAAGGGCTCTGCTACCCGCCCCTGGTACTTCACCATCCTGTGTTTATTTCCCTTAATTCCATCCATACGTTTGTTAATAGTCCCTTCATCAAACTCTTCTCAGTAACCTCATTTGAGTGGGATGCTTCCTGTTAGGACACAGGGTAATTCAATACTAGAGTTTTAGGTGTGGAAGGGATGTCACAGTCTTCTACTCCTGTGGTTTCCAAACATTTTATTTTTACCTGCATAAATCTGGTAAGAACCTCAGTTATGAAACCAACAAAGTTCTGGAAGTCTGTGGAACCCTGCCTGCCTAGAATTTCACCCAAAACACCCCTCTTCCCTGACTCCCCCAAACTCCTCTGTGAAACCCAAGGATTTAGAGCAAATGCTCCAAAACCGGCTGACCTAATTCAAACCCCTCACTGTATATGAGGGGAGGAGGCAGTTGGCAAAGTTTCCAAAGTGTCCTTTGTTGGCCTGAGTGGGTCTGATTTATGCCCTAGGCCTTCATCAACAGTTTGCCTCAATATCTTCCAAAGTGTAAAGTCCCGTAAATCTTCCCTGAGAGCAACAACTCGACCACCAGTTCATGTTATACAAACACACAGAAATGTCATTAAGGCAACAAACAGCTCTGCTGGCCCCGGCAGAGGCCTTTTCTGCCAGGCTCAAGTTACTTAAAATCAATATTTGAACAAGGACAAAACCACATGTTTTCAAAACCAAATTAGAAGGGTCTAATACCAGGCCTGGAGATGTGGTTACATCACGCGCATTCCAGCTGGCCCCTTGGGCCTCTGCCGTTGGGCCTGATCAGCCTGCCCAAGCTCCTACCCCCTGATACAGTCACTGGACTTACTTGTCCTGAGCATCTGACCTCACCAGACAGGTGACACTGAGGAAGAGAATAAGCAAGAAATAGGAACTTTCACAGAGCCAAGCACAGGACCTGAGTTTACAAACCAAAGCAAGTTAGCTGTGTTCACTCATTCAATCCTGTCATTTATTCCAAACCTGCATGAGACTCTACACTAAGATCTGGGCATCCAAAAGTGTACCAACTCATGACACTCTGCTCTCAGGGGATTTGCAGTATAGTGTGGAAGGCAGAGAACGCAACGGGACATTTCAATGCAGTAAGACAAGTGCCAGTGTTTCAGGTAAGTTCAGGGAGCTGTGTAGGCACAGGGCAGGGACAGGTAACCAGGGCCTGATTGAGGAACTGTCCGAGAATGTTTCCCATAGCAGATATGCCCAAAGGAACTCTGTCTAACCTACTATTCTGGCTTTGCTATATATCAGGCCTGGTGGAGGAAAGGGTGGATGAGAAGAGAGAAAACCTCTGCCTTCTCCCAGAAGGACCAGGTGTGTGAAAAAGACTTTTAGCTTCTACCTGGGAAGAGCACCTGATCTGATTGGTGAATTGGGATGAGAGCTGAAGCATGCCCAGCTCAGCATCTCTGCCCACTCTCTTTTCAGAGCCAGCCGGTCCAGAGAACCCCCAACACTGTCATCCCCACCACCCATCGTCTGCTTGAGTAAAGGTGGCCGTGAGTACAGGCTCCATGGCATAAGCCTCTGGCATGGCCCATTCTCAAACAAAATTCTCTCTGAGCCACATCAGGCTCTTCAGGTTCAGCATTCAATGACTCAGCAATGGAGTCATCATC
The DNA here is from genome assembly GCF_000001405.40 of Homo sapiens. NCBI lineage: Eukaryota > Metazoa > Chordata > Mammalia > Primates > Hominidae > Homo > Homo sapiens. Next base: position 59,215,953 of record NC_000001.11, read on the forward strand.
TTTCTTAGGACAGTATTCCGGGCCTTCAGGATCCTGCAGGTGACTGCCACCTGTCTGTGCTCTTCACTTGCCCAGTTCCACTGTGTTTCAGGACACGTCTTCCCTGATGAGTCAGTGAGCTCTCTTCTGTCTCCATGCCTGCACACACATCAGTCCCTAAGCTGGAAATGCCTTCCCCCATCCACAGCATGAACCCATGGTCTCTTTTAAGACTCAGTATAAGTGTCCCTTTCCCCGGGATGCTGTCCCTGGTTTTCCTCCACTTTCCCCAGGCAAAATGTACATGTTCTATCCTCCATGCTCATTTAGAATTTAGCTATTAAAGTATTTGACCCTTTGATATGGAACTGCTTATTTACTTGCCTGTCTCTCATGGGTGTAAGAATTGTATTTTGTTCACCCACTTGTTTCTTCAATCACTCATTTCATTAAACTAACTTTGATTGAGCTCTACTCTAGGCCAGGTACTGGACTCTGGAGGTACACAAAGAAAAAGATCATGATCTCACCTTCAAAGGATTTCTTGTCTAATAGAAAAAATTAAGACGCATTTCTCTCCCACAAAATAGAGAATACACGAAAGGAATCTACCTAGAGGAGTGAGATGGGCTTCACAGAAGAAGATTTCATTTCAGCTTAGTGGTGAAGGGAAGGTAGAATTTAGCCAAGCAGATTCTTAAAATTGTAAAAGAAAAACAAAGAAAGAAAGAAAGAAAGAAAGAAAGAAAGAAAGAAAGAAAGAAAGAAAGAAAGAGAAAGAAAGAAAGAAAGAAAGAAAGAAAGAAGGAAAGAAAGAAAGAAAGAAAGAGAAGGAGAGAGGGAGGCAGGAAGGGAGGGAGGGTAAGGGGGGGAGAGAGAGAGAGAAAGAGAAAGAAGGAAAGAGAGAAAGAGAAAGAAGGAAAGAAAGAAAGAAAGAAAGAAAAGAAAGAGAAAGAAGAGAGAAGAGAAGAGAAGAGAAGAGAAAAGAAAAGACCTAGGCAGAATTAAATAGCAGCCATGACCCAGAAGCCTGAAATAGTCCATCTTATTTAGGAACTTGCAAGTGTGTAGTTCAATATGGTTGTGGAAGCAAATGCAGGGAAGTGGGACAGAGCAGGTCAAGTACGGTGGGAGGAGAACAAGGAGAAGCCATAAGCAAGGACTAGGCCTAAGCTGGGTCACGGAGGGTGAGCCAGGTTGTGTGCATGCCACGTTAGGGAGCCTGTACTTTCTTCAGTCAGTTGTTGAAGGCTTTCAGGGTCCTAGCTAGATCTGTGAGCTAGGAAGATCATTTGCCTCTGTTTCCCCAGTGCCAATAAGACTAAAAGTTTTATAAACATTTGATGCTGAATCTGAACATTATCACCTGTCCCAAGACACTGCAATTTTCAAGAGGCCAGGCCACTCTGCCATGGTGGGGAGCAGTCACCTTCCTCGGGTGGGATCAGAACTACAGGCAGTCCTTGCCTTTAACAACTTGAATTCCATTCAAAGTGCTGCTTAATTAACACCCAATCCTCAGTTCTCACTATGATTACCTAGACCATACATGTATTAGTCAGTTTTCATGCTGCTGATAAAGACATACCTGAGACTGGGTAATTTATACAGAAAAGAAGGGTTTATTGGACTTATAGTTCCACGTGGCTGGGGAAGCCTCATAATCATGGTGGAAGGCAAGAAAGAGCAAGTCACATCTTACATGGATGGAAGCAGGCAAAGAGAGAGCTTGTGCAGGGAAACTTTGCCTCATAAAGCCATCAGATCTCATGAGACCTATTCACTATCACTAGAACAGCACGGGAAAGACCTGCCCCCATGATTCAATTACCTCCCACAGGTCCCTCCCACAACATGTGGGAGTTCAAGATGATATTTGGGTGGGAACACAGCCAAATCATATCAATATATTACCCAAATAAGGACAGGCACAGCAGACACCCTTTCTTACCCTTTTACCCTCTCCCTCTGCTCATCAATCAGCACCTGAAATTTCCATGTATTCATCTCCCAAATCATCCCTTTCCTCAGCATCAGGCTGTTTCTGTCAGATGTTAGTCTTCTGTGATAGGCAGAGTATCAGAGTTCCCCAGAGAAATAACAGGGTATATATGTGTATATTTGTATGTGTGTGTGTGTGTGTGTGTGTGTGTGTGTGTATACATGTGTGTGTGTGTGTCTGTGTGTGTATAGAGAGTGAGAGAGGAGAGAGAGAGAATTTTTTTAAACTTTTATTTTAGGTTTGGGGGTACAAGTGAAGGTTTGTTACTTAGAAAAGAGATTTTGTATAAGGTATTAGCTCACACAATTATGGAGGTGAAGAAATCCCACCATCTGCCATCTGTAAGCTGGAGACTCTGGCAAGCTGGTGGTATATAGTTTGAAGACCCTAGAACCTTAGAGCCAAGGGTGTAGATTCCAAGTCTGAAGGCCTGAGAACTAGGAGCATCAAGGGCAGGAGAACACCAGTGTTCAGCTCAGTCAGTCAGACAGAAGGCAAATTCTACCTTCTTCTACTTTTTTGTTCTATTCAGGCCCTCAATAGATTGGATGACTCCCACTCACTTTGGGGAGGGCTGTCTGCTTTACTCATTCCATAAATTCAAATGCTAATTTCCTCGGAGACATCCACAGAGACACAACCAGAAATAATGCGTAACCAGCTATTTGGGCATCTCTTGGCCCAGTCAGATTGACACATAAAAGTAACCATCCCAGGCAGCTTCTGAAATGGTTCCCAGTGACCCTTTGTGTTAGTTTACTAGAGTTGTCACAACAGAGTCCCACAGGAATTGAGTGGCTTCCGCAATAGAAATTGATTGCCTCATAGCCTGGAGGCCAGAAATCCAAAATCAAGGTGTTGACCTTCTGAGGTCTGTGAGGGACAATCTGTTTCAGGCCTCTCCCCATGGCTTGTAGATGGCTGTCTTACTGTTTATATGTATGCATTGTTCTCCTTGTATGCAGGTCTGTCTCTAAATTTTCCCTTTTGGTAAGGATACCAGTCATATTGGACTAGGGCCCACCCTAGTGACCTTGTTTTAACTTGATTACCTCTGCAAAGACCATATGTCCAAATAAGGTTACATTCTGAGCTATTGAGGTTTAGGACTTCAACATATGAATTTAGAGAATTAGGCACAAAGTTCAAACCACAATATCCCTCTCGTATTTCTGCTCGTGTATAAATCCCCCTCCCTTGAGTGTGGGCTGGACTAATAGACTTGCTTCTAAAGAATAGAATATGGCAAAAATGAGGAAATGTTACCTCCAACATTAGGTTATAAAAGAATATGACTTCCATCTTGTTAGCATGCTCTCTCTCTCTCTCTCTGGTTCTTCTCACTAGTTCTGTTTCAAGGAATATATCACATTATGAGCTGCTCTCAGGCCACATGAGAGCACCTAGCCACATGACAATAAGATGGCCTCCAGCCAATAGTCAACAAGCAACTGAACCCTCCAACCATGTGAGCTTGGAAGGCTCTTCTCTTCAAGTTGAGCCTTGAGATGACCGCTGCCCCAGCCAACTCTTGACTGTAGACTGTGACAGACCCTGACAGATCCAGCTAAGCCACCCATTGATAAGCCAGGCCTGGAGGAATGTTGTTGTTTCAGTCCACTAAATTTGGGGTGATTTGTTATGCAGCAATAGACAACTAATATATTCTCCATCACCTCAGACCCAGCTTCTCTCTCTCTCTGCCTCCACCCTGCACCCTTTGTAACCTCTTTATGCCTTACAAATTTCCCCAATTAAAAACTTGTTGTAGTTCCCCACTGCTCTCAGGATAAAGAGCAGTCCCCATCTTCATCTTCAGCTTTGAAAGGCAAGACAATTTGCTTTGAAGAAGACAAAATTGGGTTCAAATTATGGCTCTGCTATTTACTATTAGTGTGACTTCTGTGCTCTATTCCTTGTCTGTAAAATAGGGATACTAATTTCTTATTGAACAAATACTTATTGAAAGCAGGCTATCTACAGGATTATGCTAGGTGCAAAGGATGCAATAATTAATAAGAAATAGTCTCTACCTTCAAAGAACAGAAACAAACAGTTTAATTTATAACTACCATAGAGTGTATTATGTGCTATGACAAAGAAAATAAAACAGACTAAGAATAGTTAATGTGTACTGAATTCTTACTGTACAAATACTTTAGATGTATTTATGATGTAATCACCACAGCTGTCCTATGAGGTACTGTTAACTCCATCTTTCAGATGAACAAACCGAAGCTGAGAAAAGTTAACCAACTTGCTCAAAGTCACACAAATAGTAAGTTGGGAGACTAGATTCAAACTCTGGTTTATGTCACTCCAGAGCTCTCACTTTTTTTCTAATATGCTATGCCGTCTGTGATTGATCTCACAGTTGGGGTCTCAAGAAGCAGACACCAAGATTAATTTTGGAATACAAAGTGTTTAGTAGTAATGAGCACCTGTGCAAGGAAGAGGAAGGAAGCAGGATTGAGCAGAAGGAGAAGTTGAACCTTGAAGCAAGCTTAACCAAGGCTTAGCTAACACAGCAAGGGACTCCAGTGCTAACTGCCCAACGGTGAAGTTTTCCTCAGGCTAAAATGGTTAGGCCTTCATGCCGCTGACTTGCTCAATACCAGTGGGTGCAGGTGCGTGATTCCAGGAAAAGCATTTTTCTGTAGCTCAAGCTGACCCTGGAGGAGCTGACAGCTGTGATGCCTGCTGACCACACTCCTGGCAACGGGACAAGCCCATGCAGAAGTCCGTATCTATCACAATGGGTGGGCACATGAATCAGATACAGGGGCATAGGGAGGACTTCTAGGGGTAGATGACATTGAATCCTGAAGGAGTGGGGGAAAGGCATTCAAAGCTGAGAGGTAAAACCAGGATAAGAGTAGGTATTTGAATGGAGAGGGGAAAAAAGATAAGAAGCAAATAAAGGGATAGCCACAATACTTCTCTACCTTTCTGAACTCCTGCGCTTTCTCTTGTCATCATAATCCTGGAAAGATGAAAGCCTTGCCTTTCACATTGCTGTCCCCTCTTCATTAAGCTCACTTCCATGAGGGTCTCCTAAGTGCTCCCTCAGGACTTTTTGTCCTGCACAGCCCAGACTCCATATAGGATGGGTCTGGAAAAATTCAGCAAGCTGGGCAGACGGCGAGGAGCACAGTTTTCAGAAAGGCCCTTTCTGGGTGGACAGGTGCCAGGAAATAGGGCATCTAAAAATTCTAGAGGAGGTTCAGTCTGCTGAGTGGAACTATGAGACTCTGAGAGACTATGGTGACAGTAGGTCATAGTCTAGAAAAAAGAATGTTACAGGTTCTGGCACTTAGCTGAGACTTAATAATTATTTGTTGATGAATTGATGTCCATTTGCGAATTCTTTGACAAGGAAGGGATGGCACTGACAAGTGGATAAGCCTAGAGATTCACAGCATCAGGAGATACTAGGATGCCTAGGTCAGTGATCAGCACCAAATAGGACTCTCTGCAAATAACTGAATCCCTGTCAATATTTGAGTTCAGGCTCCTGGGGTTCAAGACAGTGACCACATCTAGGAATCAAGAAGAAGCACGATCATAACTGTGGTGCCAGGGGTCAGAATAGGAGCAAGTCACTCATTTGTTACACCATACATCCTGCCTGCATTTATTCAGCCATCCAGACACCCATCCCTTCATCTGTACTTGAAATCTTTACATGGAAGATAACACTTGCTATGGCCTGAATTTTGTGTCCCCTGAAAATTTATATGCTGAATCTTAATCACCAAGGTGATGGTATTAGAAGGTGAGGCTTTTGGGAGAAGATTAGGTCATAAGGATGGAGTCTTCATGGATAGGATTAGTGCTTTTGTAAAAGAGGCCCAGGAGAGAGTCTTGCCCCTTTTGCCATGTGAGGACACAGCAAAAGTCAGCAGTCTTCAACCCAGAAGACAGCCTGCACTAGATACTGAATCTGCTGGCTCCTTGATCTTGGACTTCCCAGACTCTAGAACTGTGAGAAATAGATTTCTGTTGTTTAGAAGCCACCTAGTTTATGATATTTTGTTATAGCAGCCTGAACAGACTAAGATAGCATTTTACTTCCCCTTCACTCCCTTCTTTCTCCTGCCACTGATATTTTACAGAGAATAGATTATTAGTAAGACAGAATAAAGACATACAGGCTGTAACAGCACAAAAATCCATGGAAGGTTGCTGAGAAAGTTGGTCAGTGTTGACAGGAAAAATGCTGATTTGGTGTGTTGATACACCTAAAACTTTATAGATCTAACGCTGCCCCTCCAGGTTGAAGCTCAGATTCCAGGCAGAGAAAGAAGTAGAGGTAAGAAGTGGGTATAGAAAAAGAAGGGGAGATACAGAGAGGAAGAAAAGCCTCAAATGTCTGTGTGAATTGGGCTCAGAAGTGGAAGATAGTGAAATGAAAAATAAATGCTTCACACCATCGCTATGTATTACCAGATTTAAAAAGGATTTTCACTCTGATTATGATATACACCCACAAGCTCTTCTAGATCTTTTGTCCATAACTAAGACCAGCTTTTGCTGGGCACTGCAGATACTGACATGGATTAAGATGCAGTCACTGGGCCAGGCGTGGTGGCTCATGCCTGTAATCCCAGCACTTTGGGAGGCCGAGGCAGGAGGATCACCTGAGGTCAGGAGTCTGAGACCAGCCTGGCCAACATGGTGAAACCCCATCTCTACTAAAACTACAAAAATTAGCCAGGCATAGTGGCACATGCCTGTAATCCCAGCTACTCGGGAGACTGAGGAAGGAGAATTGCTTCAACCCAAGAGGTGGAGGTTGCAATGAGCTGAGATTGCACCACTGCATTCCAGCCTGGGCAACAGAGTAAGACTCTGTCTCAAAAAAAAAAAAAAAAAGCATTACTCTTCTAGGGTCACTCACAGTCTAAGGGAGATGGCAGACAAGCAGATAGAGAAGTGTAAGGGAGGATGGCTGTGATGATAAGCCGTGCACCATACCCAGACATGGACTTTCAGGAAGACTTCGCAGAGGAGGTGTGATGGCTGGGGAAATTAGTTTTTGAAAGATGGGTTGGTGTTATCCAGACAATGAAAAGAAGAGGTAATAAGACAAGAAGAATAAAATCCTTTTTGGCAGAAGAATCAGCTTGTGAAAAGAGCAAGGGGCATGAAAAATTTGTGGTAGTTTATTATGGTTGAAGAAAAGGTATGAGTGAGAAGGACAGACAGGAACTACGGCAAGAACTAGATCATGAGGGACCTGTGTGCCAGACTAAGAGTTTAAACTTTATTCTGAATGCTATGGGGAGCCACTTAGAGAATATTCCACGGAATTGTGATCTTAAGTCACTGAGATGGAACTACTGGAATTTCTTGGATGCCTCCAACAGCTTACCTCTGGGTCCTAGTTTCTGATGTCTGGCCTGAAATTCATGCAGTCTTTGGCTTCATTCTTCGCTTTGGGATCAGAGGATGGACTCATTTCCATGGTGCTGGGCCACTGGGTGGAGCCTTTATAGGTGGGGCCTTCCAGAAATGGGTGACACCCATGATGTCAGAGGGGTTGGGCATGGGGGGAATGGAATGGGGTGTAAACAGCTGCTATCACTATCCCCCCTTCTTTCTTAGTGAGAAAATACAAACCATTTCCCATGCTGCTGAGCAAGGATTCCTTTCAGTTCTGGAGAAGTTCACTCTTTTTTAAAACCCAGATTATTTATAGAGACTGCAGAGTTGTGAAAAGACCTCAAGCTTCATGGTCAAGGGATCTAGATTTGAATCCTGGCCTGGTTATATGCTGTGAGAACTTTAGCAAGCTAGTTACTTTCTCTGAGCCTTAGTTCCCTTAGCTTTAAGATGGAGATAATAATGTCTCTCTCACAGGGCTAATAAGAGCATCAGAGAAGAAAATATTCATAAATTTTTGGCACTACATATTAGTTCTTCCTCCAGATAATTTTCTTCTTGTGGTGTTTTTCTCTCTTATTGGACATCCAGGGCCCACTGAGTCCAGCTTTTCTACCCCAATGATAGAATTTTTAAAACATTACAAGAACATTTGAGTGTCATTGACCAAACTAAAAAAAAAGTGGCTAATTTCTTCGTTTATTTTAGTAAACTGCACTAAGTCAGGCATCATGGATTTATGAAGTTGCAAAGAACCTGATACTCAAAGTAGAAAGACCTGATCTACTATCTCTGTCTGCACCTTTGGCCAAGTCACTTTTCTGAAAAATGAAGTTCCTTCCAGTCTTGATGGTGTCCAGAACAAGCTAATAAACTATCAGATTCCAGGAAGTTCAGTTTACTGGGGGAACAGGAGGCTAAGAACCAAAGGGTGACCTCTTTATCAGCTAAGTTCTGTGAGTTTCCAAGCAGGCCTGCAGATAAGGAAGAAGAAATTCTTCCATGGGAAAAGAGTTAAAAAGTTTATGCTTCAAGAATGAATCTTAAAATATTCCAAAAATGTCAGAGAAGAAACATACCCCAGGGGACCCCCCAGGACGAGTGATAGAGGAGAACAGCTGGACTTGCCACATGCTGAGCCCTGTGCAGTCCCCAGACCGAATTTCAAAGAGCTGCTATGTATGGTGCAACACCAGGGTAGGCCTCCTCCTGTGTTGTATCTCTCCCTGCTTTCTAGGTGCAGAAGGCCTTTCCCAGGGCAAGCCTATTGACATTGTATCCAACTTCTGCTTAATACATAAGAGAGCTACCTTTGGAATCACACAGACATGGATTCAAAACCCAATTCTGCCACTTACTGTGTGACTTTGATGAGTTAGTACATCTCTCTGATCTTCCATTTATTCAACTATCAAATGGGAATACATATTTTTTCCCTGAGATTTTTGAAAGTGAGAACTCAATGAAATAATGTTATAAATCCTTTAGCCCAGCATCTTAGGAAGAGCTCCATCAATGGCAGTGAATAATTTGGGAGAGGACAGCTGGGTGGAATGGCCTTGTGCTTCATGCATGGCTTAGGCTCTTTCTGAATCACTCTGTGTCCCAATGGATATATCTAAATTATGAAGTTAGCTTTTGTCTGCTAGACTAGAGGTCTCTAAGATGGTGGGAAGAGAGGCATCAATTTCTCCCAGCAACATAAAGGGAGAATGGGAGCTTCCAATAGGCGAAGCTGCCAAGAAAGCAGGCCTGGCTACTGAGCCTGAATATCGTGCTTCAGCTGGGCCGGTGCTGGGAAGGTAGGGTGTGAGAGGAAGCTCTATGAGATTCATTCGGCAATCATTCAACAGCTCTCTACTGTGCACCTGCTACATGTCAGCCACTGGTTCCAAAAACTTGAGATACAATAGAGAACAAGTCATTGTCCTTGCCTGCTTAGAGCTAACTTTCTGGTGGAGGAACAAAAATTAAACAAAAATAAATAACTGGCATCTTTCAGGTAATACTTATTTGCATGAATCAGGCAAGTAAGTTCTCAGAATTCTGAAGGGAGACGGCAGGGCAGAAGGCCTGACAGAGACCACAGGTTGGCAGCAGCTACTAAGAAATCTGTCCCTGGGTGGGCATTGGGGCTGGCAGCAGGAGAAATTCACAGTTACTGGGGTTGGAAGTACAGTTACTGATGTCAGACAGCCTGAGTGTGAGACTTTGCTCCACTAATTACAAACTGTGGGCCTTGGGCACATTACTTAACCTCTTAGAGCTTTAGTCTCTTGCTCTGTAAGAGACTAAAACACAATTTACATCTGTGGTTACTATGAGGATTAAATGAGATGATAGATACAAGCATTTAGTACAACATCTAGCACAGAGTAAATGCTCAATAGAGGTTGACTATTAATTATATTGTTATTATCCTACTAAATAAGCATGGCCAGAACATTCAGGTTTGTCTGGACTGGGATCCTAATAAAAAGAGTGGCCAGGTGCATGGCAAGGATCCCATGACTAGAGCAGGAGCCCAGTCCTAGATCCAGAGGTGAGTGGGAGAGGGTGGATGTGAGGGAGGAAAGAAAATGGGATTCCAGTGGTTAGTGCTAAATATGAAAACTGGGTTCATTTGGCAGCAGAGCAAACAGGAAGAATCACTGGCAACCTAGGGTATAGAAAGAGAGAGTGAAGATTCAAGACAAAGAGAAACTAGTTATAGCTCATGTTGATTGAACACTTCTTTGTGCTAATCCTTGTGTAAGTGTCTGACATGCATGATGCCATGTAATAATAAAGCAGTTCTCTGTGGTGAATATTACTATTCCTCATTTTACAAATGAGGAAATGGACTCAAAGAGAGTGTAACTTATCTAAAGTCAACCAACAGGCAAATGGTTTTGAACCTGGATTTGAACCCAGATTTAGCTAACGTCAAAGCCCAGGTTCTCAGCCAGAAGACCATCATGTTCTTCCCCAAATCCACTTGACCTTCTTCCGTCAGGTTGGTTGTCTTCATTCAAGTGACAAACATTTACTAAGCATCTACTTTGTGGCAACTGCTTGCAATGGGCTGACCTGGATTGGAATCCTCAGTCACTCTTGTCAATATAGAGAGGAAGATGACACAATTGAAAGAGCCCTGCCTCGGGAGTCAGACAGACCTGGTGACTAGTAAGGTGACATTGGCAGTCCTTGACACTCTGTTTTCTGAAAACCTTCCTCAAAAGATATCATGCAGGCCGGGCGCAGTGGCTCACACCTATAATCCTAGCACTTTGGGAGGCCAAGGTGGGCAAATCACGAGGACAAGAGATTGAGACCATCCTGGCCAACATGGTGAAACCATATCTCTACTAAAAATACAACAAAATTAGCTTGCTGTGGTGGCATGTGCCTGTAGTCCCAGTTACTCGGGAGGCTGAGGCAGGAGAGTAGCTTGAACCCAGGGGGCGGAGTTTGCAGTGAGCTGAGATTGTGCCATTGCACTCCAGCCTGGGCAACACAGCGAGACTCCATTTCAAAAACAAAAAAAAACAAACAAACAAAAAAACAAACAGATACCATGATACCATGCATAACTAGGTATGCTGAATTGTATTGAAAATGGTGTCAAATAAAGAATCTAGGCCTCTGAGTCAGAAGACCTGATTATAAGTTTCAGATAAATAATTTAGTCTGCCAGAGCTTTAGTTTCCTCCATTATAAAACCAAGGCTTAGAATTAAAAGCCCAAAGACACCCTTCAAAGATGACAGAATGACCTTGAATAAAAATCTTTGAATTTAAGTCTCACCTTTACTGCAAATCTGCTCTATGAGTTTGGATGATTCACCCCTTACCTTCTACCCTATTCATCTTTCTTAATTTCTTTGTTAAATAGAGAGAATTGATTCTTCCAACATTCAGTAAATGCCTCAAGTTGTGACTGTTTCCTTTCCTACATCCCTTGAATCACTGGAACTGGGAGATCCATTACGTATCCTCCTTCATGCATTCTACCCATTGCCTCTGCCCTCTCTAAAAATTTCCCAGCTTGGATTCTCATCAGACACCTGCCAGCTAACAGAATGAGTGCCTCAATCCTAAACAGGGGATCTTCAGGGACAATACATCATCCTCTACAGTTGTACTACTCAGATTCACTGGCTTTATATAATAAGTTTAACCCAACTTGGAACAGATCTTCTGGGATTATGATTATTTTCTTTCCCCAGGAAAGCTTACAAGAGGAAGATGAGTAGGATGAGCAAGTCCCTGCCACTGCAGTTGGTCTCCCAGCTGCCACAGATACTCATCAGTTTCCTCTCCTTACTCATTTCATATGCCCCTCACCCTCTTGCACCTCTGCTGATATGGATGGTTTAAGTGGGAGGGCAAGGGTAATCCAGACCCTCATCCGCGAGGATTCTGAGCCTCTGGTCATCATATCTACTTAATGCCAAAATTGAGCAAGGAGTACAAAAGGATGCCGCAGTGAATCCTCTGGTCATCCAACCTATTCTTTGCTGCCCACATTATGTAACAGCAGCTCTACTTCCTACTGATGGTCAGTCAAAGAACCATGACTAAGGTTGTGACTGCTTTCCTTGCCTGCTGGTCTTTTGGTGTAAGGCGCCCAAAGTGACCATAAGGTTGTGATAGCTTAAAGTTTAATGGGATTCTTGAAGTGTACCTGGAGGGAAACCTTCTTCCTTTGGAAGCCAGAACCTCCAAATCTTCAGAGTCCAGAGTAGGGGGGATAGAAAGCACAAATTCTCCAAGTTGATCATTAGAGGCAGTGGTAAGAAAGATGCTCCTAATTTTACTCCTTGGCTAATGGAGCCATGAATTCTACCTACTGGGGACATAGTACCTATAGTTGTTATTGATGTAGCATGTTCATTGCATTCTGGAAGATGATGCTCAAAGGTCCCATCTGAAGTATGGCACCATAGAAAATTCTCCAAAAGGCCACTTCTTCATTCTATCAGAGTGACAGCTTCTAAGTCATACAGTATATGATAGGACTAATGAATCCTATCATGTGCCACTGCCTTCTCTCCTTTGCTATTAAGTGGGTTTCTCAGTGTAATGTGATATTATGCAAAATCCCTTGTTGATGGATCAAACACTCTGGAAATTCTTGAATAGTAGTTCTGGCCAAAGACCTACAAGCAGAAAAGACAAACCTATACTTAGAATACGTGTTGATTCTAGTCAAGATGAATCTCTGCCCCTTCAAACTTAGCACCAAGTGGCTGGGTGGTCTTTTCAAGGACTGATGCTATATCAAGGCATCAGGGTTGGTCTCTGATGCTACCTAGTTGGACGCTTGGCAGCAGCAATAGCTATATCAGACTTTGTGAATGAAATCCCATACCATTGGACAAGACTGATGAATTAAATGGGGTTATGATGGAGGTCGCCACCCCGGCCTTCTTCAGGTTTTCAAGGATGACTCTAATTTTCTCTATTGTTCCTTATCTTCTTGGGTTAGAATATTGTTTTAGATTTACTACCTTGGCCAACAGGAGGTTAGTTTCAGAGGCTTTCACTTAGCCTTTCCCACTTTGATAGCTTATTCCACAAGCCAAGAACCCAATGTGGGGATTTTGCCAACTACAAATTACACTCATTCCAATTATACACTCAGGGACCAAGAAAATAGGTACCATATGGGTCTATGGACCCAGTGGACATACTGCGAGCTGAACCTGGGCCAGGACTCCATTTAATCAATAGTGGTCTCCATATGCCCCTACTTTAATAGGGAGGCCTTGATAATGCTTCTGATTCCTGGATGAAAATGTCAACCCATAACTGTGATCAACAGTCTCTGAAATACCTGCATATTCCCCTGTTCCCAGTATATGGTTACTTAAGTAAAAGATTGTAGTTCCCTTTGGAGAGGTTCTGGGGAAATCTTTAACAAATGCACTTCTTTAGTATTGCAGGGATTTTTTTTTTCCTCTCAAGGATCTGGCCTTTCCTTTAGTCAGTGGATTCTGAATCTGTGTATTAACTCAGATTGAGAAACTCTGATCATTCATCCTTGACTATTCTGAGTACATATTGAGCAATACAAGTATTGCCTGTGCATCTGTCTTGTTTCTAAAAATACTGTGTTCTATTAACTGTTTCTATGGCTCTTTGCAGGCTGATCCTCCTGATCTTGCTACAACAACTTTGCTTCTGATGGTTAAGCATCACCAAGTGATACCTGTTATTTGAGGATTCTATCATCCCCATTGCTACCAGGGAGCCAAGTTCTGTGACACCATCTCCTACCATTAGCTCAGACCTACGTAGAACAGCCAGCTGAGCTTTTCAATAATGTGTTTCTTCCCATTGCCTTGGTAAACAGAGCATATTCTGATTCCTTCTACAAAATATAATTGGCTGGGGGCTTTTCTTGACTTACTATGTCCACTCCAATATACCCACTTCTTTTTGATCCTTCTTCTACCATCTTCCGTGGCTGTTCTGTTCTTTCTACTTTACCTAGTGTTGCCTGACACTTGGATGAAGCTTCTAGACCCATGATAGCAGGATCTTAGTATCATCTCCTAGGGTCCTTCCCAGGGTATTAAATTCTGCACAACAGTATAGTATTCTCGTATCAATAAGCTATCATTTTCCCACTTTATGTTCTTCTTTCCTTGATCCATCATTCTTTGGATCTAGGTCTAAATGTTCCCTTCCAGTCCTGCTGGTTCATATTGTCTGAGATCTTTAACTCTTTCTAAGATATAGTACCTTCCCTCCCTAAGCATGCCTAGCACCTCCTCAGCTTGGTTATGCTATGACTGGAATCATTACTGGCCTGGTGGCCATAAGGAGAAGAGGAGGTAGATTTTTGTGGGCCATGGGGGATGGGGAGATTTCATCTTGCAAGGCAGAGGCTTCTGTATTATCTTCAAGCGAAAATGGAGCACTATCCTTTAACAAAGAAAAGTGTTCCGGCCGGGGGCAATGGCTCATGCCTGTAATCCCAGCACTTTGGGAGGTAGAGGCGGGTGGATCATGAGGTCAGGAGATTGAGACCATCCTGGCTAACAAGGTGAAACCCCGTCTCTACTAAAAATACAAAAAATTAGCCAGGCATGGTGGCATGCACCTGTAGTCCCAGCTACTCAAGAGGCTGAGGCAGGAGAATCGCTTGAACCCAGGAGGCGGAGGTTACAGTGAGCCGAGATCGCACCACTGCACTCCAGTAGGGACACAGAGCCAGACTCTGTCTCGAAAAAAAAAAAAAAAAGGAAATTGTTCCATTTCTACAGGCCAAGAGGATCCAGAGACATTTGGGGTTTCTAGGTTTTAGTGTGCATTAACTACATTAACCTAGATGTTTTCACCCCAAGTCTCCTTCCCAATCAAGGGCCTGACCTTGGTGTAGCCAGCTTACTGTGGTTGAGAATCCAGTCTCCTCTAGAGCTCTGCTACCTTTATAGTTAAGTCCCAGGCCTGAGCCTCAGTTTTTTTCATCCTCTGGCTGCAGTGAGTGTTGCTTCATATGCTGCCAAGAAGGACTTCTGACTGCCACATTTTGTCATACACTGGTGATTAATCACCCCCAGCCTTCATTATGCATTTTTCCAATGCATTAATTACACACATCCGATTCCATTGTCCTTATAATTACTCTTTCACCCAAACCTGTTAAATGCCTGAGATATTGCAACGACTATTGCATTCCCTTCCACTGGTATCCTACCCTTTTCACCACTAATTAACAATTGCACCACTGGAGCATGCCAAGGCTATCAGGGCCTCACATACCATCAGTGATAGGATCCTCAATGCCACCCAGGATGCCCACTCAGGGTTATTCCCATTGACAGAAGGGGTCGGGTCTTTAAAAACCTGCATCAACAGTCATTGGATGTGAACTGCCCCTGGAAAGTAGGGACAAAACTTGATTGAGACAGTTCCATCAGTTGAGGGCAGTTCCAGCGAAGGGGTGCAGCTTCCAGAAGCTGAGGGAATAAATGCCTTGGTCCTGATTAGGCCAAACAACACATTAGCTATAATCCCTTGAAACTATAGGAACATGCTCACCACCACCATCCAAACTGCAAGTGTCTGTTCCGAGGTTATCCTGCCAATAAGCCTTCTGCTCGGCATTTTCTGTTCCCCTTACTCAGCTTCATTTTTCTCCCCAGCACTTACCTCCATGCGAAACTCGTGTTTACTATTTATCTCCTACCATTAGATTGTACACTCCAGGCTTATGGTACCATACCACCTAGGGGAGGGCTTGGCACAAGGTAGGTCCTCAACAAACAAAGGAAACCAAATATCTGTTATGTACCTACTACATGCACCTCACTGGAATTGCTGTGAGGATTAAAATAAATCTCACATGTGAAGGTCTACACATAGACACTCAATATAAATATATATATATGCAAATGTAAGTAAAGAGACATTTGTGCATATACACTACAAGTAGCATTGGAATAAAGAAAAGGACTTTTCTTTGCAGAAAAAAATACTGAAATTTGAGCAACTCAGCATCAGTGAACAGAGGCCAGAAGAAATGGCTTGCACCTGTAATTTCAATACTTTGGGAAGGCAACACAAGAGGATTGCTTGAGGCCAGGAGTTTGAGACCTGCCTGGCAACACAGGGAGACCCCGTCTTTACAAACAATGTAAAAATTAGCCAGGCATGGTGATGTGCACCTGTAGGCCTAGCTACTCAGAAGATTGAGGCAGGTGGATTGCTTGAGGCCCAGGAGTTTGAGGCTGCCACTGCACTCCAGCCTGGGCAATGGAGTCTGTCTCTCAAAAAATAAGACTCTGACTCTCAAAAAAATAGTAAAAAAAATAATAAAAACAAAAAATAATCAGCATCAGTGAAAAGAGACTGAACTTCTTGCCCAGAGATTAAGTGCAGGCCTTGACTCTCTGTAAGGTAGGAAGATTTAGGACTAGCTTTTATTTCTTCCAGCACCAGCATTTAATTGCTGACTTAACAGGGGCTCAGGCCTATAAAAGATTCACCTTGTTTCTCTGAATGTATACATTATTTACCGTAGGGTCTATAAAATATTTACCCATTTTCTCAGCCGGCTGCACTCTGCTCAGCCTTGACTACCACACTGCTGCCTGAAGTTGATCAAATAGACGGCTGGCACCTCTCCAGAAACAGACCGAGCAAGCAACTAGAAAGGGACCATATTTTATGCATTTGTCAGAGCACATAGCAATCAAGGGTGCTGAAAGGCTTTCTGAAAGTACTGGGGAGCAGCGGGGGAGGGTGCTTAATCCTGTCCCACCTCACCCACCACCTCTACAACGGGACTGCCTCTGCCACATCCAGTACATTCATCTATTCAGAATGCACTTACAGAGCACCTATTGTGTTCTATAGATCTTGGGCAGATGGTTAGGAATAATGAAAATCTATATCCCCTTGATGGAGGAAACAAAAACGATGATAAATTATCAGGATGAGAAGAGCACCCAGGTATTGAGCTCTCTCTCCATGTATCTTGTGTAAAACACACGGCCTTGTGAGCCAGATTTTTGGTTGAAATTCTTTCTAACTATCACTCATGAGTGTATATCCTTGGGCAAGTTCTCCAACCTCTTTTTGGCCCAGTTTCCTCAGGATATTAATAGTCCCAATTTCAGGGGATTACTGTGGGGATTACATGGATGTAGAGCACTGAGTATATGGTGCCTGGCATGCAGAAAGCACTCAGTAGAAGTTAGAGATGAGGAGGAAGGGGAGGAAAATCCTTAGGACAGTCCCATGTGGTAGATGTATTGTGCACCCCCTTTTACAGATGAGAAACTGAGATTTAGAAAATTAAACACTTTGCCAAAATTCACTTATATGTGGTAAAAATCAAAATTCAAGCTCACATCTGCCTAATTACAAAGACTGTACTTGTATCCACTGTTCACATACACATACACAAGAACACATACACACACTGATATGGTTTGGCTGTGTTCCCACCCAAATCTCATCTTGAACTGTAGCTCCCATAACTCCCATGTGTTGTGGGAGGGACCCGGTGGAAGACAACTGAATCATGGGGGCAGTATCCTCCACACTGTTCTCGTGGTAGAGAATAAGTCTCATGAGATCTGATGGTTTTATAGGGAGAAAACCCTTTCGCTTGGCTCTCATTTTCTCTCTTGCCTGCTGCCATGTAACACATGCCTTTTGCCTTCTGCCATGGTTGTGAGGCCTCCCCAGCTATGTGGAACTGTGAGTCCATTAAACCTCTTTTTCTTTATAAATTATCCAGCCTTGGATATGTCTTTATCAGCAGCTTGAAAACAGACTAAGACACACACATATATGAAAATGTGGCATAGCCATCATGTGTACCATGGTTTGAGTGACACTCCCAAGCCCCAATGACATTAGATTTTCTTATTTGCCCTTACAGAAACCCTTTCAATGTCGCCATCATGATTATAATAATTTATTAATTTGATTATTATTTGCTGATGTCTGAGTCCCTCCCTACACCATATGTGGGCAGGGACTATGTATTCCCAGTTCCTGAGTGAATGTTTTACATGTATTGTAATTTATCTTTTGCAACAATGCCCATATATAAAAAATATTTTTCTCCCATTCTTTACTAACAAAACTGAGGCTCAGATAAATGAAATAACTCATCCAGTAACAGCTAAAAAACGGGAGAATTCAGATTTTAACCCAGATCAGTCTGATTCTGAAGCCCATGCCCTTTCCATTGGACCTCATTGTCTCCCTGAGAAAAGAACAAGCCCAGAGGCAAGGATAGAAGAACAAATTCCTATAAATTAAGGGCCACAATGTCAGACATTATGTGAGATTCTTGGTCAACACTGTGTCTTTTACTCCTCACCACAAATTTGTTTTCAAAATAAGGTTTCTTTGCTAAAACAAGGTTCTTGCAAACTCAGGTGCAAGCTCTGCTGGAATGAGCTGGTAAAAAGCAAAAAGAGGCTGTCTCCAAGCATGAAGGACATCAGGGAAAGCAACAAGGAATCAAAGATCTTTAATATGTCTATTCTCTTCAATAATGGTGTGCAAAGAGTACAGCCAGCTCAGGTGGGGATCAGGTGAATGCCAATGTCAAAAGCCCAGTCCACGGTGAAGGAGTGTAAGGGAGATTGGGAATGAAGAAGGATGTTTTGACCCGACCACTTTGACTCTGACTCACGTCATACTTCTTCCTTGCTGTAGTAATGCTCTCTATCCTTTGCTTTAAAAAACCACAGATGCTACTTCTCAGTCTTATGTTCAATGACTTTTGGATCCTTAATGAACACTACTGGTAGAAATACTTGATGCAAAATATAATGGATGAAAATCACATATAGTAGAATGTTATTGACCACCAATTAACAAAAATATCAACTCTTCCTAAACAAGAATAGAATTTGAAACAGAATTTTATAGAATTAATGTTCACAAAAGAAAACCTGAAGTGACAGAAGCTATACTCAGTTCATCATGTAAAAAGTACTGATTAATTCATAAAATATTTCTTTCACAATTTATAAAGAAATATTTTATTATAATAAAATTAAAATGGGAAAAATCAGAAATGGCGAGCTGTGCTGTACAGAAATTCAATCAAAAATACAAACTGAATCAATCATATTTGCTCCAGAAAGTATTTGATTCATCAATGTGAATATAATTTTCATGGAATAATTGTCTTATGAAGTCAGAGACAATCTTGGAGCCAAAACTAAGGTCTCCAGACGTGTTATTTATCTTACCCAGGGTCTTGTACTGTGCAGGGAGCTTTGCTTATGTTATCGCTAATCCTTACAACAATACTTTGTTGTTGGTTTACAGTCTCCCAATTTGTAGATGAGTAAAGTGAAATCCAGAAAGGCTAAGTAATCTGTCTAAGGTCATACATGATTTAATACTACAGCCAGGATTATTTGTTAATCAAAACAGAATACTCTTCGCATGAAGTGATGGTCATTTGCGTCTTCCTTCCTAGAGTTCAGGACATTTTGCAAGGGGTTGGGGAAGATGTTGAGACAGGCATGGCTGTGCCTCTTTCCAGGTGGAAATGCTGAGACCCCAGGAGAGAAATGAACTATCCTAAGGTTTCAAATTTTATAAAAACCCTGAGCTTTTTCTGACCCCCAGTCCACTACCCTCTTCATTTGATGAATTGGTCTGGTCATTAGTTTTGTGGTGTTGTTTTTTTTAAAAAAAGAGCAGACATAATATAATGCCATGTTTTAAAAAGCAACCAGAGGCAGGGAGCCACCTGCTCCAAGAAGTGTAGAGTTGTATGGGATGCAATGTGATTTATTCATAGCATTCAGAGAATTTTGTCTCCCCTTTCCCCCAACCACCTTACCTAAAGTAAAACTATAGTGCAGAAATGTCCAAAGTAATATATCCTTCCAAGAATAGTCTCTGCTCCTTGAACTTGCCATTTAGCACTCAGAGAGTAAAGGGAAGGGATGTAAATTGGCCATTTAACGTCATAATATAATGTTTTTATCTCATCACCAGTTTCTTCATGAAACAAATATCTTCTGTCTATTCAATAACCAGCTAAACTTGGGGATTCATGAAGAAGAGCCCCAGACACATTTCAGGCCTCTGGGGGAAAGCAATTGAGTGTTTTCAACATGATATTTATTTGTTTTAAACCAAACCAGTAAATCTTACTGATTTTATTCATGTACCTGTCATGATACTTAGTGTTCTGTAATGTGGGAACAATTTTACAGGAATTCTTGAGTGACCAACTGCCCTTGCAGACAGGACTGAAGGGTCTTCTAGCATGTTGCGCTTTCAGTTTTAAAACTGGGACAGTCTTTGGCAAACTGAAATGGTTGGTCACTGTCCTTGTTCACCTTGTATTACTAGCACCCAGGCCAGTACCTGCTATTCCCACTAGATTTCTCAGTGCCTTGATTTCCTTTTCTATGGAATGGGAACAAAAGGGACTTGTACTTGTCCTGTCTCATTCACAGGGCTACTATGCTGTATAGTAAAGCTGAGGAAGGATTGTTGTTGTTGTTGTTGTTATTTTTTAATGTCTTCCAGTAAAGTCAAAGAGAATTTAAATAATCTCCAAAAACTACAGTTCAGATTGTTCAGTTTTTGATTACTAGAACCACACTGTATTGTAATGCAGCATACAGCACAATGCCTAGCAGAAAGAAGATGCTCAAAAACACAGATGAATAAAAATAAATAAATAAGAATAAAAGAATAAGTAAATGGATAGTTAGGTTAGCAACTATATGAATGAGTGTAGAGTGATTAACTAATTCTGTAGAATTATTTTCAGAGCCAGAAGTTTATTTAATCCAACCACTACATTTTTCAGAGCGCACAGTCAAATAACAAATTCTTGGCAGGGTCAAAATTAAAATTTGGTCATCTCAATATATTAAAATATGGAAACATCTCAGCTAATTTTCCTCATTTTCCCCATTGAATCTTTTTCCCAGCACAAGAAACTTCAAGTCAGCCAGTAGCTTACAGCTCTTCTTCCAACAGAAGCTTGAAGGCCTCTCTAACAGTAAAGCCTTTTGGTTTGAGTCTCCCTATATGCCAGGCCTGCTCTCACCCAGTTATTGGATCTTGAACCAGCTTCAAAGAAATAGCTGAGGAACTAGAGGAGATCACCTAGCAGCCTGAGTCATTGACAGACATAACCATCAAGCATCAGGAAATTGCAAGTGTGTTTTGCCAGAAGGCTGCAGCAGCTAGAACTCTCAAACTGATGTTTTTTCTCCCACCCTGCCTTTCTTAAATTCAGTCTCTTTCTATGCCCCTATCGAACTATCCTCTTGTCTCCATGATTCTTTGGTTTCTGTCATAGCTGAGATTCCATTGACTATGAGCAACTTGCAGACAGGGACCTACTACTCTGTTCATCTCTATATCCTAGCAACTTAGCAACGTGCTGGTAGAAAGTAGGAATACAATGAGAGAAAGAAGAAAGAAAGCAAAAAAGAAAGAAAGAAAGGAAGGAAGGAACAAAGAAAGAGGAAGAGAGAGAGAAAGAAAGAGAGAAAGAAAAAAAGAAAGAAAGAAGAAAGAAAGAAAGGGAGGAAGGAAGAGGGGAAGGGAAGGGAAAGGAAAGGGAGGGGAGGGGAGGGGACGGGAGGAGAATTTTATGCCTCAAAGTTCCAAAAGACACAAGAGTCACAGCATCTGTGCCTAGCCCAAAGTATAATTTCAACAAATGTTGAATAAATGTGAAATAATGAATAAATGATTGATATAAATAAGTATCATTAATTGATTACTGATTATGTACCAGACACCAGCTAGGAACATTGTATATGTTCTTATTTAACCATTTCAACAACCCTGCTCTATCTTTTTCTCCCTAGTGCTTAGTACTATCTAACATACCAATATTTCACTTATTTACTTTATTTACTATTGATCTGTCCCTCAAGAATTTAACCTCCATGAGGGCCAAAATCTTTGTTTTGATGCTACCCCTGTCTACAAGAGTACCAGGAACCAAGTAGATATTCAGTAAATTTTTGTGGAATTAATATTATTATACACTCCTTGCAAAACAACAACAATAACAACAACAACAACAAACCTGAATTTAGAGTTGCTTAAAAACAAAAAATCCCTGCTGTTGTGTCAGGCACTCCAGAGATTTCCATACTTTTGCTGAAAACTGGTGACTACATTGCAAGAGAGGTATTATCATTATTCTAGTACGGTGGACACTGAGACACAGGAAGAGGAGGTCACCAGCTTGAAGTCAGACAGCAGCTCATTTGATAAAGACTGAATCACCATTCAAGCTATGGGGAACGTGGCTAAGAAGCCCTTGCTCTCCCTATGACCTCAATCCACCTTGCAATGAAAAATGCTGAATCAGAATATTCATGTAGAAGGTGTTGTCAGCCACCTGAAAAAACAGGAAGAACCCATCACAACCCAAGTCAACTCAGCAAGACCTCATTGAGCAAAGAGCATCCCTTTCACATTAACAGTGCAATACATGCTGAATGCAGGAGATTAAAACAAAGTTATTAGGCGGAGAAAGGCATGCCAATGACTTGAGCACTTAATGAGATGCCCATCGTATCTAGAAGTAAGCAGTTTCCCAGAGGATTATTTGATGTGAAAGGAATAGTAAGGAGCTCCTTAGTGGCACACAGACACATCCTCTCATGTACACACCTGCTCAGGGCTCAGCAAAAGACAGTGCGTAAATGTCTGGAATATTACATAAAAGCTGTCTGCCCAACCAGTCAAAGCTATTAAAATCCATCTCGCTGAAATGAACCCTGAGAGCAGGTCAAACAAATCTAATTTTTATTGTTCCTTAAGGACATGGCTGTGTTGGAGACAAAGGAGAGAGGCAGGAGGCCAGTTAGAAAGAAAAAAAAAAAACCCTAAGAGGCCTTAAAAAATTAAATGTTCAAAAGAGCTGTGGCAGGCAAGATAAATGATATATTACACTGCTGGTTTAAACCTAATTGATGACTAATGTTGTAATGCATCTGAACCTACACTGATCTATTATCCGTCTGGTCCAGGCTGAAGGGACACTGCAAGGAGAAAAATTGCTAACCATTTTAACCTGATGGAACTTTAAAAAAATAACCGGTCCAGTTACTTTAAAAGATAAATGACTGGGTGGTGACCTTTTAATGTATATCAGGGTCTTGCAATGCAAAATCAAATGTTAATTAAATAGAATCCAGTGCTGGGACAATGCAGAAAAAGTGTGTTTTAGAGCTCAACAGGCCATGGGGAATTGTGTTGTTGGGTTCTTACAAAATTTTTCAAAGAAACTACCAATAGAGAAGAAATAATGATAGATCACATAGCAATCATTGAAAAAGCAAATATACACACAAACACCATTTGGATAACACCTGCATATAGGTTACATAAAATAGCATGTTGACACAGCTAAATTACAGTCATTGAAAGGGCAGGGCGACCAATAGAGTTGCTTAAATTCACTGGGATAGGTCAAAAAGGCTTTATTTTCCTGATCTGCCATAGCTTCCACACAATTTTCAGAAGGAAAAACAAGCAAATAATGTAAGAACATTTCAAAAGGATTCAGTGACCAGCTTGAAAGGATTTTCAGTGGCCATGTCTAGCGTAAGTTAGCTACAAAATCGTGAATATAAAAATTATAATCAGACACTAAAGTTAAGTATCTATGAGTTCATACTGATATAAAGGAATACACATATGAATGAATGAAAAATGAGAAGGAAAATCTCTTTGCTATAGTAGAATTCTAACTAAGAAATGTTTAAGAAAGAAATGAGGAAAATAGAAATCACTATTTGGCAACCAGAAAGTAATTATTGTTTCAGGCAAGCATCTTCAATAGATACTAAAATTAGTGAACAACAAAAAAATGATGAGAAACAGAATCTTCACAGAGGCCCACAATATCTCCACTTTGACAGCACCTTAATGAAGGGATCATAGTTAACATCACCAGTAATGGGACAAATGGACACCATGTGCCTTCTGATATAATGAATTTAGAAGGACACAACATCATTTCATCATATTCTTGCTAAAAATGCAAAACCAGAATTTAATTATGAGGAAACATCAGACTAACTGAGGAACAATCTACAAAATGGTCAGTTCTCCTCAAAAGTATTAAGTCATATATTACATATCAAGTCAAAGAATGACTCAGGAAATGTACCAGATTAAAGGTGATCAAGGAGACATCATAGTGAAATATATTGTGTGATACTGGATTGGATGCTGAACCAGAAAAAAAGGATATTTGTGGGACAACTGGAGAAATTTGCATTAAGGCCATAGATTAGATACTAATATTGCATCAATGTACTTTTCCTAAATTTAATTATTATACAATGGATATGTGAGAAAGAAATTAACATTTGGGGAATTTGGATAAAAAGGTAGACAGGAAAGTTCTATTTCTGAAACTTTTTTGTAAGTCTGAAATTATTTCCAAATGCAAAGTTAAAATTAATATGTAGAATGCCATTGTTATGCTTTCTTGGAGGACTCACACCCAGCTTCATTCTTCCAGGAGCTGTTCTATTCAGAGGTGGGAAGAGGCAGCACCAAAGCCAGGATGCCCTCATTCAATTGGGAAAGGAAGGAACCAGGAGCAGAAGGAGGTAATCACTTTGAATCAAGTTAATCAGAGAAGGTTAAATACCATAAAGAGGCGTGAGCAACTGCAAAGCTGCTTTTGCTCATGTGGTAAAAGTACAGGGGCTGAAAATGGGCCCACTGAGAACAGCTCTTTTCTGACAGTGCCTCTGGAGAAGGAATCAACATTAGGAATTAGAATCATAATTATACCTTTTATTTTGCACTAACTCCGAGATTAGTCCTTGTGTTAATGTCCTTCATATATTTTCTCATTTAATTCTTATAAAAGCCTCTGAGGGAAGTATTATCCACATTTAAAGAAATGGAGAGGAAACACACTTGTTTTCTAAAGTAGACTGGCTTTGCTAAAAGACAGGTTTTGCAATTTGGCAATGGGTGGAAGTATTGGCTCTAGAGTCTGTGCTTATTATTATCATTATTTTTTAAAGAGACAGGTTTTTACTCGGGAGTGCAGTGCCAATAATAGCTCACTACAGCCTTGAACTCCTGGGCTCAAGCTATCTTCTGGCCTCAGCCTCCTGAGTATCTAGGACTACAGGTGTGCACCACCATGCCCAGCTAATTTTTATTATTTTTTGTAGAGACAGGATCTCTCTATGTTGCCCAGGCTGGCCTTGTATTCCTGGCCTCAAGCAATATTCCCACCTCCGCCTCCCAAAGTGCTGGTATTACAGGTGTGAGCCACTATGCCCATGCTCTGTGCTTATTACTCTTCACCCTGGTGTACTATACAGCCTCAGCAAGAATGCAGAGCCCAACTCCAAGTGACTTTCAAGAATTCCAATTAGATCTGAGCTAAAGCTTAGGGTAAAAGTTGAAATGTGAAAAAGAATAAAAAGAAGAATTTCTGAGCCAAACATACAAGTATATAGGCAACGATATTGCAGGGCCATAGCAATTAATGTGCTAATTGCTAACAATCCTCCTCTTAAGTTAACAAAGATTTAGTGAATGTGTTCTTCTGAAAAAAAAAAAAAAAAAAAAAAAAAAAAGCTAGGCCTCTGAAGGGTAGAAGGATAAAAGTCACCCATTTGGACCTATTGTGGGCAAGCCATGTCAAGATCCACCATAACAGTATCTCCTTTTCGCTTTCCTCTCTTTCCTCTTTCTCCTCATCTTTCCTCTCCTCCCCACCTCCTTTTCCTCTTCATTTTCTTCTTCTTTCTCCCTATCCTCCTTCTCTCCTCTTCCTCCTCCGCTTTTTTCTCCTCCTCTTCCTTGTCCTTTTTTTCCCCCAAACTGTGGAAACACAAAAAGGGAAGAATTAATTTTAACTGAAAGATTAGGAAGGCTTATAGGGTGAATGGAGTCTTGAACAAGGAGTGGGAACTTGACATGCAGGGATGAGAGAAAAAGCTTTTCAGGCAAGGAACTCAACTCACTGGAACAAAACTATACGAGTGGAAAAGTTCAAGGAAATAGGAACTAGTGTGCCATGGTCAGGATGTATGTACATGGGATGATGAAGGGAAGGAGTAAGGAACAAGGAGCACGGGGGAGAGATGACAGTGACAAAATTAATGAATCTTTGGTGAGGTAGGCTGGGGTCTATCCTGGAGAGGCTATTAATTTCTTCAGGAGGAATCTGCATTTGACCTTCTGAACCAAAAAGAAGGTCACTTGTGGGAGGGGTAAGTGCTGAATAGGTAGATGCCTTATCGTCCTTGATGACTTGAATCTCATTCCTGAAGGTCTGGCTCAGGAATCTATGTTTAAACACTTCAGGAGAGTCTTACAAACACTAAAATGACCCCATGAGACCTCTTGGGCACAGAATAATATTGTTACATGGCTTCTAAAGTAAAAATTATATGTGCTGTCCTTTAAAATTCCCTGTAATCCAAACCCGTTTTAAGTTAAACTGGTTGTCTCTCTGCTTTGTAAGAATCAGTAGGGTTTACTCATAAAGGCTCTTTTCCATGATATATTTTGACGAAAAATGGATGATATGAGTGCCCAAAGGTAACAAAATAAGAACAAACAGTCTAGAGAAGAATTATTAGCTTTCCTATTGGTGTGGGAGCTGACAAATGAGCTGCCCTGCACAGAGGCACTGGCCACTTTCCACACTGGCCATGACCACTCCAGCTCCTGGACCACTGGCTGGAAAGGTCAAAGTCATATTTTATGAAGCTCAGCTAGTTCAACGAAAACAACTTGTTGAAAAACCTCAAGTACTCTGTAAATAGATTTCTAGGGTTTTCTTGAAAGGTTTATGAGAACACCATGGATTTGTACTGTTATGTGAGTAAAAGGACCAGAATGCACCCTTTGAAGGGATATACGTGACTCTTTGTAAATCTGTGCTTAGCTACCCAGATAAGAGCACAAGCTCTGGGGTCAGGAAGACCTGGATTCAAATCACAGGTCTTCCATTTATTGGCTGTATGCAGAAGCAAGTTTCTTAATTCCTCTAAACCTGTTTCCTTGTGGTTATAATGCCTAGTTCTCAAGGTTACTTGGAGGACTGTTTTCCCCTGATATTTGTACAGCTCACACCCACACCTCTCTAGGTATTCATTCAATTGTCCTTCTCAAAGAGGCCTTCCCAGCCTCATATTGAATACTGCAAACAATCCCCCACTATCCCCTAACACTTCTTATCCTCTCCTCATGCTTTCCTTTTCTCCTTAGCAGTTACCACTATTTAATACACTATATATTTTACCATTTTTATATCCTTTACGTCTATCTCCAACACTAACATTTTAACAACACAGGGGCAGGAATGTTTGCCTGGTCTGTTTACTGCCATGTTCCTTGTGCCTAGGACAGTGCTAACATCATAAGCTGAAAACATCTTTGTTGAATGCATGGATGGGTGATTAAATGGCTAATCAAGGGAAACATTTCTGGGTTAGAGCTTTTGGTCAAGGTGGCTCAGTGCATTCATGCTTCCACTGCCTTTGAGTGTCAAATATTCAGTACAAAAAAGAAAAAAATTAAAAACCTAACTGTGTTATATAAGATGTTAACATTAGGATAAGTTGTGTGAAAGGTATATGGGAACTTTCTATACTATCTCTGAAACTCTTCTGTAAGACCAAAATTATTTTAAAATAAAAAGTTTCTGAAAATCACAGTTAAAAGAAAGATAAGCACCTCTGTGGTCTATAAATAAAAGAAAACACATAGCACTAATCAGGAAGCCAAAGGTGTGCTCTGCAAGGCTCTTCACCTAACTATCCAAGACAGCTGGCAGTTGAATTTCTGGGGCATTGAGAACCAAATGTGGCAGGGAACCAGACTGACTATTGTGCACTAAAACTGAACTAGTTTTAGTTCTAGGGGAGAACTCTCCTATCCACAAAAGGAGGCTTAATGTCACACCACCTGTTGCCCAGGGTTGGGGTTTCTATAAAGCTCCAGCAGGGAGCAGAACAGCTGTGCAACTAGGACTTGAGCCAAGCTAACTATGATTGGCTCATAGAGAAGGGTAGAAAAGCAGTATTTGAAAAGACAATGAATGAAATTTTTTCAGCATAGAAAACAGACCACTGGACTGAGACTGAAAACACAAGAGGGCCAAAAGATAAATAAAAATAGAAATATACCGACATAAAAAGTGCACAATATCATGGATAGAAAGAATATCTTCTAACCTACTATAGAAAATGGACAAATTACCTACCACAGAATGACAGTGAGTCTGACAGCAAGTAATTCATTAGCAGCAATCTCTGCCAGAAGAAAACAGACATCTTCAAAATGTTTGAGAGGAAAATATTTGACTTAGACTTCTACACCCTGTATTACTGTCATTCAAGAGTGTATGAGTTTGCTAGGGCTGCTATAACAAAATATCACAGACCAACTGGCTTAAACAATAGAAATTTATTTTCTTACAGTCTTTCAGGTTAGAAGTCCAAGATTAAGGTGTTGGCAGTTTGGGTTTCTCCCGAGGCCTCTCTCCTTGGCCTGCAAATGGTTGGATTCTCACTGTACCCTCATATAGTCTTTTCCCTATGTATGGACATCCCTGGTGTCTCTTTATGTGTCCAATTTCCCTTTTCTTAAAAGGGCACTGGTCATATTGGATTAAAATATGGTCATATTGGATTAAAACAGCCTCATTTTTACTTAATCACCCCCTTTACAGGATCTAGCTCTAAACAGTCACATTGTAAGGACTGGGGGTTAGAACTTCAACATATAAATTTGGGTGTGGGGGAGAAACACAGTTCAGACCATAAAAAGAAGTAAGAAAAATAAAATCATATTCAGATTCACAAAAGAAGAGTATTTTCTACCTATAAAGACTTGTTTTAAGAACCATCAAATGATATTCATTAGTAAGAAGAAAAAAGAAATAAAATAAAATGGTAAAAATATATCCAAAAAGTAGTAATCAAAATAATGGTAAATGAATTAAATTCATTTATTAAAAGCTAGAGATTATCACATTAGATTTTTAGGTCATTTGGCTATACACTTCATGAAAGGGACATATTCAAAACAAAATGGCCCAAAGATTGAAACTAAATTGTATGAAACAAGATGTAACATATGAATCAAATAAAGCTGGTAACGATATTAGTATTTGACCAAAAACAAATTAAGAAAAAAAGCATTAGTAAAAATAGAAAATACTAGATAATAATGAAAAGAACCTCCTCCAGGAAGATATAACAGTCATAAACTTGTATTTACCTAATATTGACTAAAAACTTATAGGACAAATACTGACAGATCAGCAAATCTGTAGTCATAATGGGAAATTTAAAATCATATCTCTCAGAGATGATTTAACAATATTCCATATGTATACATATGTTCAATCTTGAATATATATATATGTATATATATTCCTATGTGTATACACACATACACAGATATGTGTAAGTATCTAACATGCACTTCCCCTAGAAAGTTCTCTCTGCCTTTTGAATCTGGTATATGCCTTTCCAACTTCAAGGTTGAATTCTTCTTGGCTCTCTTGGACAAAATTAATCATTGTAACACTGAGGTCCCTTATTATCTTCTACATACCTCACATAGGACTCATCTCCATATTTGTAGAAAAGTACCTATTGATTTCCACTAGACTCTGTTGTCAGGTACTAGTGTGCTAACCATCTCCGTAAATCCAATGCCTGGCACATAGTACATACTTGGTAATTGTTTGTTGAATGAATGAATTCATAGTCCTTGCCCTTAAGAAGCTCACAAGGTAGAATAATAAGCAGCTGATAGCCACTGAAAAAATCTAGGTACTGAGCATTATTTTTTCTTTTTTTTTTACCTTAAGTTTTGGATACATGTGCAGAACATGCAGATTTGTTACATAGGTAAACATATGCTATAGTGGTTTGCTGTACCTACCAACCCATGATCTAGGTATTAAGCCCCGCATGCATTAATTCTTTGTCCCGATGCTCTCCCACCCCTTGCTGCCCATGACAGGCCCCGGTGTGTGTTGTTCCCCTCCCTGTGTCCATGTGTTCTCATTGTTCAGCTCCCACTTATGAGTGAGAACATGTGGTGTTTGGTTTTCTGTTCCTGTGTTAGTTTGCTAAGAATGATGGCTCCCAGCTTCACCCATGTTCCTGCAAAGAAACATAATCTCATTCCTTTTTATGGCTGCATAGTATTTGATGATGTATATATACCATGTTTTCTTTATGCAGTCTATCACTGATGGGCTTTTGGGTTGGTTCCATGTCTTTGCTATTGTAAATGGTGCTATAATAAACATACATGTGAATGTGTCTTTATAGTAGAATGATTTATACTCCTTTGCATATATACTCAATAATGGGATTGCTGGATCAAATGGTATTTCTGGTTCTAGACCCCCGAGGAATCACTACACTGTCTTCCACAATGGTTGAACTAATTTACATTCCCGCCAACAGTGTAAAAGTGTTCCTATTTATCCACAGCCTCGCCAGCATCTGTTATTTCTTAACTTTTTAATAATCGCCATTCTAACTGGCATGAGATGGTATCTCATTGTGGTTTTGATTTGCATTTCTCTAATGATCAGTGATGTTGAGCTTTTCTTCATATGTTTGTTGGCTGCATAAATGTCTTCTTTTGAGAAGTATCTCTTCATGTCCTTTGTCCACTTTTTGATTGGGTTGTTTGTTTTTTTTCCTGTTAATTTGTTTAAGTTCCTTGTAAATTCAGGATATTAGACCTTTGTCAGATAGGTAGACGGCAAAAATTTTCTCCCATTCTGTAGGTTTCCTGTTCACTCTGATGATGGTTTATTTTGCTGTGCAGAAGCTCTTTAGTTTAATTAGATCCCATTTGTCAACTTTAGCTTTTGTTGCAATTGCTTTTCGTGATTTCATCATAAAATCTTTGCCCATGCCTATGTCCTGAATGGTATTGCCTAGATTTTCTTCTAGGGTTTTTATGGTTTTGGGTTTTACATTTAAGTATCTAATCTATCTTGTGTTAATTTTTGTATAAGGGGTAAGGAAGGGGTCCAGTTTCAGTTTTCTGCTTATGGTAGCCAGTTTTCCCAGGTGCTGAACATTATTCTAAGTGCCTTACAGGTAATATCTCATTAGTCATCATAGCATCCTTATGTTAGCCACATGCGTCAGGAATAAGAATTCCTTTCCCTCCCTTGTCCAGGTGTGTGCTCACCATTGCTCCATCTGTGAGGGTGCACCCTTCTATAGAAGTAAATTGCCTTGCTGAGAAGAAAAAAGAAAATTTGATATTCTAGTGCTATTTCTTTTGTGGCACTGAAACTTTATAACAATTATGAGGTAGGAGAAAAAGATTATCTCCCTTTACAGACATAAAAAACTGAGACCAATAAGCTTTTATAACTTGCCCAAAGTCATGTAGTTGATAAATGGCAGAGCCAGGATTTGGCCCCAAATTCTCTGATCTCAGAGTCTGAGCTCTTCACCATCATACTATACTACTCACATTTTGTATATAAAAACACAATCACTAACAGAAAGCAGTATTTGCCAAGTATCTATTGAAATGAGTAGATAATAAATCCGATGCTATTATGCTAAAAAGATTAGGTGCATAAATTCTTTTTTTTTTTTTCAAGATGGAGTCTTGCTCTGTCACCTAGGCTGGAGTGCAGTGATGCAGTCTTAGCTCACTGCAACCTCCATCTCCCAGGTTCAAACAATTCTCCTTCCTCAGCCTCCCCAGTAGCTGGGATTACAGGCACTTGCTACCACACCCAGCTAAGTTTTTGTATTTTTAGTAGAGATGGGGTTTCACCATTTTGGCTAGGCTAGTCTCAAACTCCTGTCCTCAAGGGATCCACTGGCCTTGGCCTCCCAAAGTCCTGGGATTATAGGCGTGAGCCACTGTGCCTGGCCTACATGCACAAATTCTTATCTTGACAAACTGTGAAATGACTCTCACACCTTTTTCTTTTCCCTGTGTCCTCTCCCACTTCTCTGGAAGAATATGTTGAACAGGAGATGAGGGAGGAAGTCAAGTGACCACTTTCCTCAGAGTCCAGCTTCTCTGTGGGCCTGGGGTTTACCCCAGAACCCTACTGGCTGCCTTACAATTCTACAGTCTCAGCAAGAATTTTAGAGTGACGCCTGTGACTTTCAGACCATGAGCTTGCTGCTTCTCAGTGTTCTTAATAGGGACAGGAGGGATGAGTGGTACTAAGGGTCCATGTAGACAATTGGGCGGCTGCTACTCTCATCTGTATTGTCATGTTATCCAGAAAGTTCAGCTGTAAGTCAATAGACGGATTCTAAGAGGGAGCCAAGAATGCCATATACTTCTAAACTCTCATCATAAAAACATTGTGAAATACTTTATATTTTTTGGTGCCTGGATTATATAAGTCATAAACTAGCTTATATAAATACACAGACATAGAGATACACAGTTGACATCTGAGGTTATTCTCAATGAAATCAAGAAGAAAACAGTACTTTATTTGAGCAGATATGTATCAGCTTCTCTGAGGCCTGGGAGCCCTCGCACTCCATCCCAGCATCACTGAGAAATTATTATACTGCTTACAATGTCTATTGTGTTGTTTGATGGTACATTTGATCACAGTTTATGAGACAATTCACCACTGAATAATTTTCATCCCAATGTAGAAGCTGAAGATGGTCTAATTTATGCCTAACTTCAAAGCTGGAGTGGTTGAGGGCTGTAGCTGTGGAATCAAGCAGTTAGCGGAATGAACATTGTAAAGACTTTGATTGTAAAATTTGGAGTGTGAATTCCTGGCCAGTAATTTAACATCAATGATCTCTTTTTAAGAAACTCTCAAAAAGCCCCTCTGGTTTTTTAGGTAGGCCTTTCAAAACTCAAAATTGGTGAGAGTGATAATAATCAAAATAGCAATTCTCTGTTTTGGGTAGACAGAATTATAGTATGTATTACCAATTTAATCCTGACAAGCCCTTTGCTACAGCTTTATTCTTCCCATATCACAAATGAGAGAAATAAAGTTCCCAGAAAAGAAATAATTTATCTGAGCAAAATCTTATAGTTGTTAGGAAGCAGTAGAGACAAAACTTAAACCTTGATTTTCTAGTCTAATCTAACACCCTTTCCACTATAGTAGAGTCTGTCTCTGTCTTGTACCCTACTTTGTGGTTACTTCTAACTGCCTTCAGATGTGGGTCCCTTAGCAAAAAAAGTAGAATCTCTGCTGTTTCACAAAAGCAGAACAATTAGAAGATACTCGAGTTGACAAGAGTCTTAGAGAATATCTGGTGCTATCCTTTTGCTTTAAGATGAGAAAATCAAGGCCCAGAAAGGATGACTTGTTGAGATGAGAGCCAGCATCAGAATCTAGACCTCATTTTTGGTCTTTCTGCTTCTCTCTGACATTTCATCAGAAATGTTTTGCCTCCAAACTCCTGACATTGTATGTATTTACTTGACCTACATTTGCTCATCACTTGTTATGGGACATTACTCACTGGGGAAATGAAGATTTATAATACAGGAACTCTGTATTTTCTAGGAAAGATAGATGCATAAATAATTATACTTGCTAAATTGGAGGTTTACACAGATGAAACGGATTGGCAAAGAAGCCACAATTAATTAGGCCTATGGAACAAGGGAAGACTTACCAAAGAAAAGCTGAGTTTTCAGGGAAGAGAAGTTTGTTAGCCAGATAATGCAGAAAGGGGTTTTGCATGAAGAGGGAGTTATTTGTGTAAAGGAATGAGGGCTGTGAGAAAACACTGAAAGAATAATGCAAGTTCTGAGGTATGGCTGATCACAGGACACTCAAAGCAGAGTGGAATGAGAAGAGAGTGGGGTCAGTTGAAGGCCTCATATGTCAGACCAAGGGACGCGGGCTCTCTCTGCAAGAAAGTAAGAAACTATTGAAACATAAAAGGCAGAAGATTTAATTCACAGACAAGCTCTTTCAGGTAAATATTATTTCCCCCAACTTTGGAGATGTGGAAACTGAAGCTAACAGCATAAATAACATGCTCAGGCCACCCCACTTTTTTGGGTGAAAGCCTGGACCAAGACTCAGACACTCTGAATCCAAGTCCCAAGTTTTTCAGATGTCAGCATGCTGTCTCCCAGAGCAACCAATTTTGAAAGCAAGAAACTCAGTCCTGAGGTCATTCCAAAGATGTACGACATGGAGCATACAGAGGCCCAATAGGACTCCATCCCCAAGGACACAATCAGCCTGGACGTTGCTTACTTCCCATAGCCTTTTATTCTCTTGGTCTGCAGTTTTTATTTATTCTCCCTCTGGCTTCTGAAACACAAACAAATAAAAACAGACACACTTTTTCCTCTGCCTATGACCCTTGTGGGGTTTATGTTGACAGGAATGATACTAAAATGCAGTGGGAAGAAGGGGTACTCTCTCCAGACCTTAAAAGAATAGCTCAATAAATTACAAAAACACCCTGAACTATTTCTCTCTCTCTCTCTCCCTCTCTCTCTCTCTCTGATTATCTTCCAGAAAGGACTTTTATGTCTAGATTCCTTCCCAGGAGTGAACATTGCAAGCCTGCCCATTCTACTGATTCTTGGGCACAAACCAAATTTTGTCTACCCTTTCTGCTAAAAATAAAAAGTATTTATTTTATGCTTCCTTTCCTCTGTGACATAATGTCTAATTTCTGCTTTTTTTTTTTTTTTTTGGTCATAGAAATGAGAGACAAAGAACCCAGATCAGAAATGAGTTTTAATAGCAACTCAGTCCAATGTTTTGTATCTACAGCACCTAGCACAATCATATGCAGGCAATTCATTGATAGAGCTGTCTAGCCTAGGGAAGATACTCAATACTTGTTAGTTAAATCATCCAAATGCTTGATTCCCTCTTCTAACATCTCAGGTAAAAACTGGAAGAAAAATATATACAGAGAGAGATTATAATAGTCATATATATATGAGAGAGATTATAATAGCGATTCACATGTTATTGCATAACTTTTTAAAAATGTAGGAAAATACAATTTAGAAA